>NC_000016.10:36084622-36260386 GCF_000001405.40 Homo sapiens | reverse complement strand
TTTAAAAAAAAAAAAAAAAAACTAGACTGAAGCATTCTCAGAAACTTGTTCCTGATGTGTGTACTCAACTAACAGAGTTGCACCTTTCTTTTGATAGAACAGTTTTGAAACACTCTTGTTATAGAATCTGCAAGTGGATATTTGGATTGCTTTGAGGATTTCGTTGGAAATGGGATTATCTCCATATGAAAAGAAGAAGCATTCTCAGAAACTTCTTTGTGATGTTTGCATTCAAGTCACAGCGTGGAACATTCCCTTTCACAGAGCAGGTTTCAAACATTCCTTTTATAGTATCTGGAAGTGGACATTTGGAGCGTTTTGAGGCCTATGGTGAAAAAGGAAATATCTTCCCATAAAATGTAGACAGAAGGATTCTCAGAAACTTGTTTGGGATGTGTGTACTCCACTAAAAGTATTGAACCTTTCTTTTGATAGAGCAGCTTTCAAACACTCTTTTTGTAAAATCTACAAGTGGATATTTGGATAGCTTTGAGGATTTCTTTGGAAACGGGATTATCTTCATGTAAAAAGTAGACAGAAGCCTTCTGGGAAACTTCTTTATGATGATTGCATTCAAGTCACAGAGTTGAACATTCCCTTTCATAGAGCAGGTTTGAAACACTCTTTTTGTAGGATCTGCAAGTGGATATTTGGATGGATTTGAGGATTTCGGAGGAAACGGAAATATCTTCCTATAAAAAGTAGACAGAAGCATTTTCAGAAACTTCTTTGTGATGAATGCATTCAAGTCCATGAGTTGAATATTCCCTTCCATAGAGCAAGTTTGAAACACTCTTTTTGTTGTATCTGGAAGTGGATATTTGGAGCGCTATGAGACCTATGGAGAAAAAGGAAACATCTTCCCATAAAAACTAGACAGAAGCATTCTCAGAAATTTGTTTGTCATGTGTCTACTCAACTAACAGAGTTGAACCATTCTTTTGATAGAGCAGATCAGAAACACTCTGTTTGTAGATTCTGCAATTGGATATTTGGGTAGCTTTGAGGATTTCGTTGGAAATGGGAATATCATCATATAAAATCTAGACAGATGCATTCTCAGAAACTCCTTTATGATGATTGCATTCAAGTCACAGAGTTGAACATTCCCTTTCATAGAGCAGGTTTGAAACACACTTTTTGTAGAATCTGGAAATGGACATTTGGATCGCTTTGAGGCCTATGATGAAAAAGAATGTCTCTTCCCTTAACAACTAGACAGAAGCATTCTCAAAAACTTGTTTTTGATATGTGTACTCAACTAAGAGAGTTGAACCTTTTTTTTGATAGAGCAGTTTTAAAGCACTCTTGTTATAGAATCTGCAAGTGGATTTTTGGATTGCTTTGAGGATTACGTTGGAAAAGGGATTATCTCCATATGAAAAGTAGAAGCATTTTCAAAAAATTCTTTGTGATATATGCATTCAAGTCCCAGAGATGAACATTCCCTTTCATAGAGCAGGTTTGAAAAACTCTTTTTGTAGAATCTGGAAGTGGAGATTTGGAGCGCTTTGAGACCTATGGTGAAAAAGAAAATCTCTTCCCTTAACAACTAGACAAAAGAATTCTCAGAAACTTTTTTTTGATATGTGTAGTCAACTAACAGAGTTGAACCTTTCTTTTGATAGAGCAGTTTTGAAACACTCTTGTTATAGAATCTGGAAGTGTATATTTGGATTGCTTTGAGGATATCGTTGAAAAGTGATTTTTTCCATATTAAAAGTAGAAGCATTCTCAGAAACTTCTTTGTGATATATGCATTCAAGTCCCAGACGTGAACATTCCCTTTCATAGAGCAGGTTTGAAACACTCTTTTTATAGTATCTGGAAGTGGACATTTGTAGCACTTCGAGGCCTATGGTTTTAAATAAAATTTCTTCCCATAAAAACTAGACTGAAGCATTCTCAGAAACTTCTTTCTGACTTGTGTACTCAACTAACAGATTAGAACTTGTCTTTTGTTAGAGCATTTTTGAAAGACTCCTGTTATAGAATCTGCCAGTGTATATATTTGGATTGCTTTGAGTATTTCGTTGGAAAGGGATTATCTCCATATGAGAAGTAGAAGCATTCTCAGAAACTTCTTTGTGATATATGCATTCAAGTCCCAGAGTTGAACCTTCCCTTTCATAGAGCAGGTTTGAAACACTCTTTATAGTATCTGGAAGTGGACATTTGGAGTGCTTTGAGGCCTATGGTGAAAAATAAAATTTCTTCCCATAAAAACTAGACTGAAGCATTCTCAGAAACTTGTTGCTGATGTGTGTACTCCACTAACAGAGTTGAATCTTTCTTTTGATAGAGCAGTTTTGAAACACCCGTTTTGTGGAATCTGCAAGTGGATATTTGGATTGCTTTGAGGATTTCGATGGAAACGGGAATATCTCTATATAAAAAGCAGAAGCATCCTCAGAAATTTCTTTGTGATGTTTGGATTCAAGTCACAGAGTTTAACATTCCCTTTCATAGAGCAGGTTTGAAACACTACTTTATAGTATCTGGAAGTGGTCATTTGGAGCGTTTTGAGGCCTATGGTGAAAAAGGAAATATCTTCCCATAAAATCTAGACAGAAGGATTCTCAGAAACTTGTTTTGGATGTTTTTACTCAACTAATAGTGTTGAACCTTTCTTTTGATAGAGCAGCTTTCAAACACACTTTTTGTAAAATCTACAAGAGGATATTTGGATAGATTTGAGGAATTCGTTGGAAATGGGATTATCTTCATATAAATGTAGATGGAAGCCTTCTCAGAAAAGTCATTGTGATGTTTGCGTTCAACTCCGAGAGTTGAACATTCCCTTTCATAGACCAGGTTTTAAACACTCTTTTTGTAGTATCTGGAAGTGGACATTTGGAGCGCTTTGAGGCCTATGGTGGAATAGGAAAACTCTTCCCATAAAAACTAGACAGAAGCATTCTCAGAAACTTGTTTGTCATGTGTCCACTCAACTAACAGAGTTGAACCTTTCTTTTGATAGAGCAGATCGGAAACACTCTGTTGGTTGAATCTTCATGTGGATATTTGGATAGCTTTGAAGATTTCGTTGGAAACGGGAATATCATCATATAAAATCTAGACAGATGCATTCTCAGAAACTTCTTTATGATGATTGCATTCAAGTCACAGAGTTGAACATTCCCTTTCATAGAGCAGGTATGAAACACTCTTTTTGTAGGATCTGGAAGTGGACATTTGGAGCGCTTGAGGCCTATGGTGAAAAATAAAAATTCTTCCCATAAAAAGTAGACAGAAGCATTCTCCGAAACTTGTTTTTTGATGTGTGTACACAACTAACAGAGTTGAACCTTTCTTTTGGTAGAGCAGTTTTGAAACACTCTTGTTATAGAATCTGCAAGTGGATATTTGGATTGCTTTGAGGATTTCGTTGGAAAAGGGATTATGTCCATATGAGAAGAAGAAGCATTCTCAGAAACTTCTTTGTGATATATGCATTCAAGTCCCAGAGTTGAACATTCCCTTTCATAGAACAGGTTTGAAACACTCTTTATAGTATCTGGAAGTGGACATTTGGAGCGCTTTGAGGCCTATGGTGAAAAATAAAATTTCTTCCCATAAAAACTAGACTGAAGCATTCTCAGAAACTTGTTTCTGATGTGTGTACTCCACTAACAGAATTCAACCTTTCTTTTGATAGAGCATTATTGAAACACTCTTTTTGTAGGATCTGCAAGTGGATATTTGGATAGCTTTGAGGATTTCGGAGGAAACGGGAATATCTTCATATAAAAATAGACAGAAGCATTTTAAGAAACTTCTTTGTGATGAATGCATTCATGTCCATGAGTTGAATATTCCCTTTCATAGAGCAGGTTTGAAACACTCTTTTTGTTGTATCTGGAAGTGGACATTTGGAGTGCTATGAGGCCTATGGTGAAAAGGGAAATATCTTCCCATAAAATCTAGACAGAAGGATTCTCAGAAACTTGTTTTGGATATTTTTACTCAACTAACAGTGTTGAACATTTCTTTTGATAGTGCAGCTTTCAAACACTCTTTTTGTAAAATCTGCAAGTGGATATTTGGATAGCTTTGAGGATTTCGTTTTAAACGGGAATATCATCATATAAAATCTAGAGAGAAGCATTCTCAGAAACTTCTTTGTGAAGTGTGCATTCAAGTCACAGAGTTTAACATTCCCTTTCGTAGAGCAGGTTAGAAACTCTCTTTTTGTAGTATCTGGAAGTGGACATTTTCAGCGCTTTTAGACCTATGGTGAAAATGGAATTGTCTTCCCATAAAAACTAGACTGAAGCATTCTCAGAAACTTGTTTGTGATGTGTGTACTGAACTAACACAGTTGAAGCTTTCTTTTGATAGAGCAGTCCTGAAACACACTTTTTGTAGAATCTGAACGTGGATATTTGGAAAGATTTGAGGATTTCGTTGGAAACGGGAATATCTTCATTTAAATCTGGATATATTTATTCTCAGAAACTTCTTTGTGATGTTTGTATTCAAGTCACAGATTTGAACATTCCCTTTTACAGAGCAGGCTTGAAACACTCTTTTTGTAGTATGTGGAAGTGGACATTTTTAGCACTTTGAGGCCTATGGTGTAAAAGGTCATCTCTTCCCATAAAAACTGGACTGAAGCATTCTCAGAAACTTGTTTCTTATGTGTGTACTCAACTAACAGAGTTGAACCTTTCTTTTGATAGAGCAGTTTTGAAACACGCTTTTTGTAGAATCTTCAGGTGGATATTTGGATTACTTTGAGGATTTCGTTGGAAACGGGAATATCTCCATATAAAAAGAAGAAGCATTCTCGGAAAGTTCTATGTTATGTTTGTATTCAAGTAACAGAGTTGAGAATTCCCTTTCACAGAGCAAGTTGGAAACAGTCTTTTTGTAGTATCTGGAAGTGGACATTTGGAACTCTTTGAGGCCTATGATGAAAAAGGAAATATCTTCCAATTAAAACTAGACAGAAACATTCCCAGAAACTTGTTTGTGATGTGTGTACTCAAGTAACAGAGTTGAACCTTACTTTTGATAGAGCAGAGCTGAAACACTCTGTCTGTTGAATCTGAAAGTGGATATTTGGATAGCTTTGAGGATTTCGTTGGAAACAGGATCATATAAAATCTAGACAGAAGCATTCTCAGAAACTTTTTATGATGATTGCATTCAAGTGACAGAGTTGAAATTTCCCTTTAATATAGCAGGTTTGAAAAACTCTTTTTGTAGTATCTGGAAGAGGACATTTGGAGCGCTTTGACGACTAAGGTGAAAAAGGAAAGCTCTTCCCCTAAAAACTAGACAGAAGCCTTCTCAGAACCTTCTTTGTGATGTGTGTACTCAACTAACAGAGTTGATCCTTTCTTTTGATCGAGCAGTTCTGAAACACTCTTTTTGTAGAATCTGAACGTGTATATTTTGATAGCTTTGATGATTTCGTTGGAAACGGGAATATCTTCATAAAAAATCTAGACAGAAATATTCTCATAAACTTCTTTGTGATGTTTTTATTCAAGTTACAGAGTTTAACATTCCCTTTCATAGAGCAGGTTTGAATCTCTCTTTTTGTAGTATCTGGAAGTTGACATTTTTAGCGCTTTTTGGTCTATGGTGAAAAAGGAAATCAATTCCCATAAAAACTAGACTGAAGCATTCTCAGAAACTTGTTTCTGATGTGTGTACTCAACTAACAGAGTTGAACCTTTGTTTTGATAGAGCAGTTTTGAAACACTCTTGTTGTGGAATCTTCAAGTGGATATTTGGATTGCTTTGAGCATTTCGTTGGAAATGGAAATATATCCATATATAAAGAAGAAGCAGTCTCAGAAACTTCTTTGTGATGTTTGCATTCATGTAACAGAGTTGAACATTCCCTTTCACAGAGCCGGTTTGAAACAGTCTTTTTGTAGTATCTGGAAGAGAACATTTGGAGTGCATTGAGGCCTATGGTGAAAAAGGAAAAATCTTCCCCTAAAAACTACATAGAAGCTTTCTCAGAAACTTGTTTGTGATGTGTGTACTGAAGTAACAGTTTTGAAACTTTCGATTAATAGGGCAGTTTTCAATCTCTCTTTTTGTAGAATCTGCAATTGGATATTTGGATAGCTTTGAGGATTTCATTGGAAATGGGAATACCTTCGTATAAAATTTATACAGAAGGATTCTCAGAATCTACTTTGTGATGTTTGCATTCAAGTCACAGAGTTTAACATTCCCTTTCATAGAGCAGGTTTGAAACACTATTTTGTAGTATCTGGAAGTGGACATTTGGGCGTTTTGAAGCCTTTTTTTCAATAGGAAATATCTTCCCCTAAAAACTAGACTGAAGAATTCTGAGAAACTTGTTTGTTATGTATGTGCTGAAATAACAGACTTGGACCTTTGTTTTGATAGGGCAGTTCTGAAACACTCTTTTTGTTGAATCTGAACGTGGATATTTTGATAGGTTGGAGGATTTCGTTGGAAATGGGAAAATGTTCATATAAAATCTAGACAGAATTATTCTCAGAAACATCTGTGTGATGTTTGTATTCAAGTCACAGAGTTGAGCCTTCCCTTTCACAGAGCAGGTTTGAAACAGTCTTTCTGTGGTATCTGGATGAGGATATTTGGAGCGTTTTGAGGCCTATGGTGAACAAGGAAATCTCTTCCCATAAAAACTACACAGAAGCATTCTCAGAAACTCCTTTGTGATGTGTCTACTCAACTAACAGAGTTGAATCTTTCTTTTGATAGAGTAGTTTTGAAACACTCTTTTTGTAGAATCTGCAACTGGATATTTGGATAGCTCTGAGGATTTCGGTGGAAACGGAATATCTTCATAAAAAAAGTAGACAGAAGCATTTTCAGAAATTTATTTGTGATGTTTGCATTCAAGTCCCAGAGTTGAATATTCCCTTTCATAGAGCAGGTTTGAAAAACTCTTTTTGTGGTATCTGGAACTGGACATTTGGAGCGCTTTGAAGCCTATGGTGAAAAAGGAAAATCTTCCCATAAAAACCAGAAAGAAGCATTCTCAGAAGCTAGTTTGTGACGTGTGTACTGAACTAACAGTGTTGACGCTTTCTTTTAATAGAGCAGTTTTCAAACTCTCTTTCTGTTGAATCTGCAAGTGTATATTTGGATAGCTTTGAGGATTTCGTTGGAAACTGGAATATCTTCATATAAAAAGTAGAAAGCAGCCTTCTCAGAAACTTCTTTGTGATGTTTACATTCATGTAAGGGAGTCGAACATTCCCTATCATAGAGGAGGTTTGAAACACTCTTTTTGTAGAATCTGGGAGTGGACTTTGGGATCACTTTGAAGCCTAGGGTGAAAAAGGAAATCTCTTCCCATGAATACTAGAGAGAAGCATTCTCAGAAAGTTGTTTGTTATGTGTGCATTCTACTAACAGAGTTGAACCATTCTTTTGATACAGAAGTTCTGAAACGCTCTTTTGTAGAATCTGCAAGTGGATATTTGGATAGCTTAGAGACTTTCGTTGGAAAACAGAATATCTTTATATAAAATCTAGACAGAAGCATTCTCAGAAAGTTCTTTGTGTTGTTTGCATTCCAGTCGCAGAGTTGAACATTCCCTTTCATAGAGCAGGTTTGAAACACTCTTTTTGTAGTATCTGGAATTGGACATTTGGAGCTCTTTTACGTGTAAGGTGGAAAAGGAAATCTGTTTTCATGAAAACTAGACAGAAGCATTCTCAGAAACTTGTTTGTGATGTGTGTACTCAACTAACAGAGTTTATCCTTTCTTTTGATAGAGCAGTTTTGAAACACTCGTGTTGTAGAATCTGCAAGTGGATATTTGGATAGCTGTGAGGAATTCATTGGAAACGGGAATATCTTCATATAAAAAGTATAAGCATTCTCAGAAACTACTTTTTGATGTTTGCATTCAAGTCACAGAGTTGAACATTGCCTTTCACAGAGCAGATTTGAAACAGTCTTTTGTACTTTCTGGAGGTGGACATTTGGAGCGCTTTGGGGCCTATGGTGAAAAAGGGAATCTCTTCCATTAAAAACTAGACAGAAGCATTCTCAGAAACTTGTTTGTGATGTGTGCACTCAACTAACACTGTTGAACCTTTCTTTTGATAGAGCAGTTCTGAAACTCTGTTTTTGTGGAATCTGCACGTGGATATTTGGATAGCTTTGAGGATTTCGTTGGAAACGGGAATATTTACATATAGAAAGTGGAAGCATTCTCAGAAATTTCTTATTGTTGTTTGCATTCAAGTCACAGTTGAACATTCCCTTTCATAGAGCAGGTTTGAAACACTCTTTTTGTAGTATCTGGATGTGGACATTTGGAGCGCTTTGAGGCCAGTGGTGAAAAAGGGAATCTCTTCCCGTAAAAAGTACACAGAAGCATTCTCAGAAACGTGTTTGTGATGTGTGTACTCAACCAACGGAGTTGAAGCTTTCTTTTGATAGAGCAGTTCTGAAACACTCTTTTTGTAGAATCTGCACATGGGTGTTTTTGATGGCTTTGAGGATTTCATTGGAAACGGGAATATCTTCATATGAAACCTAGATAGAAACATTCCCAGTAATTTCATTAAGATGATATCATTCAAGTCAGACAGTTGAACCTTTCCTTTCACAGAGAAGGTTTGAAAAACTCTTTGTAGTATCTGGAAGTGTAAATTTAAAGCGCTTTGAGGCCTAGGATGAAAAAGGAAATATCTTCCCATAAAAACCTGACCGAAGCATTCCTAGAAACTTGTTTGTGATGTGTGTACTCAACTAACAGTGTTGAACGTTTCTTTTGATTGAGCAGTTTTGAAACACTCTTTTTGTGTAATCGGCAAGTGGATATTTGGATAGCTTTTAGGATTACATTGGTAACGGGAATATGTTCATATAAAACTGGACAGAAGCATTCTGAGATACATATTTGTGATGTTTGCATTCAAGTCACAGTGTTGAACACTCTTTTTCATAGAGCAGGTTTCAAATTCTCTTTTTTTGTTATCTGGAAGTGGACATTTGGAGTGCTTTGAGGCCTGTGTTGAAAAAGGAAATATCTTCCCATAAAAACTAGACAGAAGCATTCTCAGAAACTTGTTTGTGAAGTGTGTACTCAACTAACGGAGTTGAACCTTCCTTTTGGTGGAGTAGTTTTGAATCTCTCTTTTTGCAGAATCTGCAATTGGATAGTTGGATAGCTTTGAGGAATTCTTTGGAACGGGAATATCGTCATATAAAATGTAGACAGAAGCATTCTCAGGAACTTCTTTGTGATGTTTGCATTCAAGTCACAGAGTTGAATGGACTCGAATAGAATCATGAAATGAATCGAATGGAATCATCATCGAAGGTAATCCAATGGAATCAACATCGAATTGGTTCTAATGGAATCATCATCGAATGGAATCTGAAAGAATCATCCTCAAATGTATTCAAAAGGAATCATCAATGAATGGAATGGAATGGAATTATTCAATGGAATCTAACGGAATCATCATTGAATAGAACAGAACGGAATCATCCTCAAATGGAAACTAACGGTGTCATCATTGAATGGATTTGAATGGAATCATCATCGAATGTCTCCAAACGGAATCATCATCGAATGGAATCGAATGGAATCATCATCAAATTGAATCAAATGGAATCATCAAATGGAATCAAACCGAATCATCTAATGGACTCGAAAGGAATATTCATCAAATTGAATAAAATAGAATCATCTTTGAATGGACTCGAATGGAATCATTGAATGGAGTCGAATGCAAACGTCGTCAATGGAATCGAATGGAATCATCATCAAATGGAGTCAAAAGGAATCATCATTGAAAGGAAACGAATGGAATCATCATCAAATGGAATCAAAAGGAAGCATCATCAAATGGAATCAAATGGAATCATCATCAAATGGAATCAAAAGGAAGCATCATCAAATGGAATCAAATGGAATCATCATTCAATAAAATTGAAAGGAATCATCAAATGGAATCAAATGGAATCATCATCAAAAGGAATCAAAGAGAGTCATCAAATGGAATTGAACTGAATCATCAAATGGTATCGAATGGAATCATCATCAAATGGACTGGAATGGAATCACCATCGAATGGAA
Source organism: Homo sapiens (assembly GCF_000001405.40). NCBI lineage: Eukaryota > Metazoa > Chordata > Mammalia > Primates > Hominidae > Homo > Homo sapiens. The sequence goes on along the minus strand of NC_000016.10, from coordinate 36,250,325 downwards.
TAGAATGGAATCACTGAATGAAGTCGAATGGAATCATCATCCAATGGACTCAAATGGAATTATCATCTAATGGAATCAAATGGAATTATTGAATGGACTTGATTGGAATCATTGAATGTACACAAATGGAATCATCATCGAATGGACTCAAATGGAATGATCAAATGGACTCGAATGGAATCATTGATTGGGCCCAAATGGAATTATCGAATGGGCTCGAATGGAAATATCGAATGGACTCTAATGGAATCATTATCAAACGGAATCAAATGGAATCATCAAAAGGAATTGAATAGAATCATCGAATGGACTAGATCAGAATCATGATCGAATGGAATCAAATGGAATCATCGAATGGAAACTATTGCAGTCATCATCAAATGGAACTGAATGGAATGATCATCAAATAAAATCGAATGGAATTATTGAATGGATTCGAATGGAATCATCATCGAATGTAATCGAAAGGAATCATCATTGAATAGAATAGAATGGAATTATCAAATGTAATCAAATGGAATCATCGTCGAATGGAATTGAATGGAATCATCAAATGGAATCCAATGGAATCATCATTGAATGGAATCGAATGGAATCATTATCAAATAGAATCAAATGGAATCATTGAAAGGTATCATCATCAAATGGAGTCCAATGGAATCATCGAATTGACTCGAATGGAGTCATCATCGAATGGAATCAAATAGAATCATCGAATGGAATCGAATGGAATCATCATCAAATGGAATTGAATGATATCATGGAATGCTCTTGAATGGAATCATCAACGAATGGAATTGAATGGTATCATCCAATGGAATCGAATGGAATCATCTTTGAGTGGAATCTAAAGGATTCACTAAGTGGACTCCAATGGAATAATCATCAAATGGAATCAAATGGAATTATCGAATGTACTCAAATGGTATCATCGAATGGAATCAAATGGAGTCATCAAATGGATTTGAATGGTATAGTCATCGAATGGAATAACGTGGAATGATCAAAAGGACTCAAATGGAATCATGAACGGATTTGAATGGAATCATCAAATACACTCGAATGGAATCATCAACGAATGGAATTGAATGGTTTCATCCAATGGAATCGAATGGAATCATCTTTGAGTGGAATCTAAAGGATTCACTAAGTGGACTCCAATGGAATAATCATCAAATGGAATCAAATGGAATTATCGAATGTACTCAAATGGTATCATCGAATGGAATCAAATGGAGTCATCAAATGGATTTGAATGGTATAGTCATCGAATGGAATAACGTGGAATGATCAAAAGGACTCAAATGGAATCATGAACGGATTTGAATGGAATCATCAAATACACTCGAATGGAATCATCATCAAATGGAAATGAATGGAATCATCAAATGGAAATGAATGGAATCATTGTCAAATGGAATCATACGGAATCATCAAATGGACTCGAATGCAATCATTGAATGGACTCGAATGGATTCGTCATCGAATGGAATTGAATAGAATCATCGAATGGACTCGAATGGAGTGATCAAAAGGACTTGAAAGGAATTATCAAATGGACTCGAATGGAAGCATCGAATGGACCCTAACGGAATCATCATCAAATGGAAAAGAATGGAATAGTCAGATGGACTTGAATGGAATCATCGAATGGACTCGAATGGAATCATCGAATGGAGTCTAAAGGAATCACCATTGAAATGAATCGAAAGGAATCATCAAATAAAATCGAATGTAATCGTCTAATGGAATCTAACGGAATAATCTTCTAATGGAATCAAAAGGAATCACTGAATGGGATCGATAGCAATAATCATCGAATGGAATCAAATGGAATCATCATCGAATGGAAAGGAATAGAATCACCAAATGCACTCAAATATAATCATCATCGAAGGGAATCGAATGGAATCATCAATTGGAATCGAATGGAGTCATCATCAAATGAAATTGAATGGAGTTATCAAATGTCATTGAATTGAATCATCACCAAATTGAGTTGGATGGAATCATCGAATGGACTCGAATGGAATCATCATTGAATGGAATCGAATGGATTCATCAAATGGACTCGAATGGAATTGTCATTGAATGGAATTGAATGGAATCATCAAATCGACTCAAATGGAGTCATCATCAAATGTAATTGAATGGAATCATCAAATGAACACAAGTGGAATCATCATCAAATGAAATCGAATGGAATCATCGAATGGACATGAATAGAATCATCATCGAATGGAATCAAATGGAATGATCAATTGGAGTCCAATGGAATCATCGAATGGACTCGAATGGAATCATCATCAAAACGAATCAAAAGAAATCATCATCAGATGGAATCAAATGGAAACCTCACTGAATGGAATCGAATGGAATCATCGAAGGGAAAGTGATGGAATCATCATCGAATGAAATCAAATAGAAGTATTGAATGAAATCAAATTGAAACATAGTCAAACGGAATCGAATGGAAACATCATCGAATGGACTCAAAAGGAAACATCGTGGAATGGAATCGAGTGGAATCATCATCGAATGGAATTGAATGGCAACATCATTGAATTGAATCAAATGGAATCATCATGGAATTGAATCAAATGGCTCATTGTCAAATGGAATCAAATGGAATCGTCAAATGGAATCATCGAATGGAATCAAATGGATTAATCATCCAATGGAATCGAATGGAACCATCGACAAATCAAATGGAATCATCTTCAAATGGAGTCGAATGGAATTATCATCAAATGGAATCTAATGGAATCATCAAAAATGGGAATTGAAAGGAATCATCATAGAATGGAATCGAATGGAATCATCAACGAATGGAATTGAATGGAATCATCAACGAATGGAATCGAATGGAATCATCATAGAAAGGAATCACAAGAAATCATTGAAAGGAATCGAACGGGATCATTAAATGGAATCAAATGGAATCATCCTTGAATGGAATAAAATGGAGTCATCAAATGGACACGACTGTAATAATTAAATGGACTCGAGTGGAATCATAGAATGGAACCGAATGGAATCATCGATTGGACTCGAATGGAATCATCATTAAATGGAATCGGATGGAATCAACGAAGGGAGTTGAATGGAATAATCGAATGGATTTGAATGGAATCAGCATCAAATGGAATCAAATAGAATCATTCAATGGACTCGAGTGGAATCATCATAGAATGGAATCAAATGAAATCATCGTCAGATGGAATCGAATGGAATCATCAACGAATGGAATCATCATAGAAAGAAATCATAAGGAATCATTGAAAGGAATCAAACGAGATCATCAAATGGAATCAAATGGAATCATCATTGAATGGAATCAAATAGAGTCATCAAATGGACACGAATGTAATAATTAAATGGACTCGAATGGAATCATGGAATGGAACTGAATGGAATCATCGATTGGACCTGAATGGAATCATCATCAAATGGAATCGGATGGAATCAATGAAGGGAGTTGAATGGAATAATCGAATGGATTTGAATGGAATCAGCATCGAATGGAATCAAATAGAATCATTCAATGGACTCTAGTGGAATCATCATAGAATGGAATCAAATGAAATCATCTTCAGATGGAATCGAATGGAATCATCACTGAACAGAATCGAATGGAATCATCGAATGGACTCGAATGGAATAATTGAATGGACTGGAGTGGAATCATATAATGGAATCAAACGGAATCATCTAACGGACTTGAATGGAATCATCGAATGGACTCGAATGGAATCATCATCAAATGGAATCAAATGGAATTATCAAATGGAATTGAATGGAATCATCATCGAATGAAATCGAATAGAAGCATCGAATGGAATCGAATGGAATCATAGAATGGAATCAGACGGAATCATCATTGAATGGAATCGAATAGAAGCATTGAATGAAATCAAATAGAATCATCATCAAACGGACTCATATGGAATCATCATCGAATGGACTCAAAGGGAATCATCGTTGAATGGATTCCAATGGAATCATCATCGAATGGAATCGAATGGAAACATCATCTAATTGAATCAAATAGAATCATCATGGAACTGAATCGAATTGCTCACCATCGAGTGGAATCGAATGGAATCATCGAATGGAATCGAATGGAATCATCATCAAATGGACTCGAATGGAATCATCATCGAATGGAATCAAATGGAATCATCATCGAATGGAATTGAAAGGAGTCATCATCGAATGGAATAAAATGGAATCATCCAATGGAAGAGAATTGAATCATCATCGAATGGAATCAAATAGAATCATCGAATGAAATCGAATGGAACCATCATCGAATAGAATTGAATGGAATCAACATCGAATGAAACTGAATGGAATCATCATCGAATGGAATCGAATGGAATCATCATCGAATGGAATCAAATGGAATCATCCAATATAATAGAATTGAATCATCATTGAATGGAATCAAATAGAATCATTGAATGAAATCAAATGGAATCATCATCAAATGGAATCAAATAATCAATTAACGGAATCGAATGGAATCATAGAATGGAATCCAATATAATCATCATTGAATTGAACCCAATGGAATCATTAAATGGCCTCGAATGGAAACATTGAAAGGACTCGAATGGAATCATCATCGAATGGAATAGAATGGAATCATCAAATGGAATCGAATGGGATCATCATCGAATGTAATCAAATGGAATCATCGAATGGACTCGAATGGAATCATCATTGAATGGAATTGAATGGAATCATCGAATGGACTCGAATGGAATCATCATCGAATGGAATTGAAAGGAATCATCAAATGGACTTGAATGGAATCATTGAATGGACTCAAATGGAATCATCATCGAATGGAATTGAAAGGAAACATTGAATGGACTCGAAAGGAATCATCATTGAATGGAATGGAATGGATTCACCAAATGGACATGAATGGAATCATCATCTAATAGCATCGAATGGAATCATCGAATGGACTCGAATGGAATATCAGCAAATGGAATTAAATGCAATCATCGAATGGACTCCAATGGAATTATCGAATGGACTCGAATGGAATCACTATCGAATGGACTCAAATGGAATGATTGAATGGTGTTGAATGGAATCATCAATTGGACTCAAAAGGAATTATCGAATATCCTCGAATGGAATTATCAAATGGACTCGAATGGAATCATTATCTAATGGAATCAAAAGGAATCATCAAATGGAATCGAATGGAATCATTGAATGCAATTGATCAGAATCATCATCAAATGGAATCAAATGGAATCATCAAATGGAATCATTGAATGCAATTGATCAAAATCATCATCAAATGGAATCAAATGGAATCATCAAATGGAATCGAATGCAGTCATCATCGAATGGAATCGAGTGGAATCATCATCGAATAGAATCGAATGGAATCATCAAATGGAAGCGAATGGAATCATCGTTGAATGTAATCAAATGGAATCATCGAATGGAATTGAATGGAATCAGCATCGAATCAAATCAATTGGAATCATCATAGAATAGAATCGAATGGAAGTATAGAATGGAATCATCATCAAATGGAACCGAATGGTATCATTGAATGCACTCTAAAGGAATCATCAATGAATGGTATCGAATGGTACCATCAAATGGAATTGAATGGAATAATGTTCAATTGGCAACGAAAGCAATCACCGAATGGACACGAATGGAATACTCATCGAAAGGAATCGAATGGAATCATCCAATGGAATCGAATGGAATCATCACTGAATGGACTAGAGTGGAATCATTGAATGGACTAGAATGGAATCATCATTGTATGGAATCAAATGGAATCATCAAATGGAATCAAATGGAATCATCATTGAATGTAATCAAATGGAATCATCATCGAATGAAATCAAATGGAATCATCATCAAATGGAATTGAAATGAATTAACGTTAAATGGAGTGGAATGGAATCATTATCGAATGGAATCCAAAGGAATCATCATCGAATGGAAACGAATGGAATCGTCATCGAATGGAAATGAAAGGGGTCATTATCAAATGGAATTGCATGGAATCATCATCGAATGAAATTGAATGGAATCATCATCAAATGGAATCTAATGCATGCATCGAATGGAATTGAATGGAATCATCATCGAATGAATTGAGTGGAATCATTGAATGGTCTCGAACGGAATTATTATCAAATGGAAATGGAAGTATTCACCGAATAGAATCGAATGGAATAATCATCAAACGGACTCGAATGGAATCATCATCAATTGGAATCGAAAGGAATTATTGAATGGAATTGAATTGAATCACCAAATGGACTTGAATGGAATCATCAAATTGAATGGAATGGAATAATCAATGAACACGAAAGGAATCATCATTGAATGGAAACAAATGGAATCATCAAATGGAATCAAATGGAGTCATCATCGAATGGAATCAAAAATAATAATCATCAAATGGAATTGAATGGAAACATCATTGAACAGAATCCAAATGAATCATCATCGAATGTAACCAAATGGAATCATCATTGAATGGAACCAAAAGGAGACATCATCGAAAGGATTCTGATAGAATCATCATCGAATGGAATCGAATGGAATTATCATCTAATGGAATCTATTGGAATCATTGAATGGAATTGAATGGAATCATCATCGAATGAATTGAATGGAAACATCGAATGGTCTCGAATATAATATTCATCAAATGGAATCGAATGGAATCATCAAATAGAATCGAATGGAATAATGATCGAATGGACTCGAATGTAATCAACATCAAATGGAATCGAATGGAATTATCAAATGGAATCAAATAGAATCATCGAACAGACTCGAATGGAATCATTGAATGGAATTGAATTGAATAATCTACGGACTCGAATGGAATCATCATCGAATTGAATCAAATGGAATCATCGAATGTACTCGAATGGAATCATCATCGAAAATAATAGAATGGAATCGTCATCGAATGGAATTGAATGGAATCATCATGAAATGGAATCAAATGGAATCATCGAATGGAGTTGAATGGAATCATCCTCGAATGCAATCAAATGGAATCACCGAATGTATTAGAATGGAATCATCATTGAATGAAATCGAATGGAATCATTGAATTCAACCAAATGGAATCATTGAATGGACTCGAATGGAATCATCATCGAATGGAATCTAATGGAATCATTGAAGGTACTTGAAAGGAATCATTGAATTGGCTCAAAAGGGAACATCATCAAGTGGAATTGAATGGAATCATCAAATGGACTAGAAAGGAATCTTTGAATGTACTCCAATGGAATCATCATTGAATGGAATCTAATGGAATCATTGAATGGACTCGAATGGAGTCCTCATCGAATGGAATCCAAGGGAATCACCGAATGGACTCAAATGGAATCATCGAATGGCCACGAATTGAATCATCATTAAATGGAATTGAATGGAATCATCTCACAGACTCGAATGTAATCATCAAATGGACACGAAAGGAATCATTACTGAGTGGATTCAAATGAAATCATTGAATGGACTTGAATTCAATCATCAAATGGTCTCGAATGGAATCATCATCAAATGGAATCGAATGGAATCATCACATGGATTCGAATGGAATCATCATCGAATGGAATGGAATGAAAACATTGAATGGAATCGAATTGAATCATCATCAAATGGAATCGAAAGGAATAATCAAATGGAATTGAATGGAATCATTGAATGGACTCGAATGCAATCATCACAGAATGGAATTGAATGGGGTCAAAGAGTGGACTCAAAGGGAATCTTTGAATGGACTCGAATGGAATCATCAAATGGAATCCAATGGGATCATCATCAAATGGAATCGAATGGAATCAACAATGAATGGAATCAAATGGAATCAATGAATGAAATCCAGTGGAATCGTCATCAAATAGAAATGAATGGAATCATCGAATGGACTTGAATGGAATCATAATCGAATGGAATCTTATGGAATCATCGAATGGACTCACATGGATTCATCATCAAATGAAATCGAATGTAATCATAGAATAGAATCGAATGGAATCATCATTGAATGGAATAGAATAGAATCATCAAATGGAATCAAAAGGAATCATCAATGAATGGAATCGAATGGAATCATTTAATGGACTCGAATGGAATCATCATCAAATAGAATTAGATGGAATCAACGAAGGGACTAGAATGGAATCATCAAATGGATTCGAATGGAATCATAATCAAATGGAATCAAAAGGAATCATGGAATGGAATCAAATGGAAACATTGCATGGAATCAAACGGAATCATCAAATGGAATAATCGAATGGAACCGAATGCAGTCATCCTCGAATGGAGTATTCAAATGGAACTGAATGCAGTTATCTTCTAATGGAATCGAATGGAATCATTGAACGGACTCGAACGGAAACATCATCGAATGGAATCGAATGGAATCATTGACTGGAATCAAAGGCTATCATCGAATGGACACGAAAGGAATCATCATCGAATGGAATAGAATGGTATCATCGAATGGACTCGAATGGAATTACCATTGAATGGAATTGAATGGAATCATCGAACGAACTCAAATGGAATCATCATTGAATGCAATCGTAAAGAATCATTGAATGGACTCGAATGCAATCATCGAATGGACTCGAATGGAATTATCATGGAATGGAATCGAATGGAATCATCGAATGAACTCAAATGGAATCATCATCAAATGGAATCGAATGGAGTCATCGAATGGATTCGAATGGAATCATCATCAAATGGAATCATGTGGAATCGTCAAATGAACTCGAAATGAATCATAATCGAATGGCATCGAAAGGAACCATCATCGAATGGAATCACATGGAATCATCATTGAATGAAATCATACGGAATCATCATAGACTGGAATCGAATGGAATCATCAGATGGACTCGAATGGAATCATCAAATGGACTCAAAGGGAAGCACCGAATTGACTCAAACTGAATCATCATCAAATGGAATCGAATGGAATAATCAAAAGGACTCGAATCGAACCATCAAATGGACTCTAATGGAATCATTATAGAATGGAATTGAATAGAATCGTCAGATGGACTTGAATGGAATCATCATTGAATGGAACCGATTGGAATCATTGAATGCACTCAAATGGAATCATCATCGAATAGAATTGAATGGCATTAGTGAATGGTCTCGAATGGAATCATCATCAAATAAAATCCATTGGAATCATTGGACGGAATCGAATGGAATTATCAAATGGAATTGAATGGAATCATCTTTGAATGGAATGGAATGGAATGAGCGAATGGAATCGAGTGCAATCATCATTGAATGGAATCAAATGGAATCATTGAATAGCATCGAATTTAATCACCATTGAATGGACTCATATGGAATCATAATCGAATAGAATCAGAAGGAATCATTGAATGGACTCGAATGGAAACATCATTGAATAGAATTGAATGGAATCATAGAATGGAATCTAATGGAATCATCCTCAAATGTAATTAAATGGAATCATTGAATGGAATCAAATGGAATCATCATCAAGTGGAATCAAATAGAATCAGAGAATGAAATCGAATGGAATCACCTTCGAATGGAATTGAATGGAATCACAGAATGATATCGAATGTAATCATCATCAAATGGAATCGAAAGGAATCATAGCGAATGGACTTGAAAAAAATCATTGAATGTACTCAAATACAAACATCGAATGGACTTGAATGGAATCTTCATGGTATGGGGTAGAATGGAATCATCGCATGGACCCAATTGGAATCATCATCGAATGGAATACAATGGAATCATCTAATTTACACGAATGGATTCATCATTGAATGGAATAGAGTGGTAAGCATCATTGAATGGAATCAAATGGAATCATCTAATGGACCCGAATGGAATCATTGAATGGAATAGAATGGAATCATCATCGAATGGAATATAATGGAATAATCTCGAATGGAATCAGATGGAATCATCTAATGGACCCGAATGGAATCATCATTGAATGGAATAGAATGGAATCATCATCGAATGGAATATAATGGAATCATCATCAAATGGAATCCAAAGGAATCATCAAATGGATCTGAATGGAATCATCGTAGAATTCAATAGAATGGAATCATCATTTAATGGAATGGAATGGAATCATGTAATGGACAGGAATATAATCATCATCGAATTGAAACATCTATTGTACCCGAATGGAATCATCATTGAATGCAATAGAAATCAGCATCGAATGGAATCACATGGAATCACCAAACGGACTCGAATGGAATCATCATCAAATGGAATCAAATGTAATCATCAAATAGAATCATCATCGAATGGAATCAAATGGAATCACTGAATGGACTCGAATGGAATCATCATCAAATGGAATAAAAGGGAATCATTGAATGCACCCAAATGGAATCAACATTGAATGGAATCAAATGGAATCCTCATCCAATGGAATCAAATGGAATCATTGAATGCACTCAAATGGAATGATCATAGAATGGAATCATATGGAATCAACTAACTGACTCGAATGGAAGCACCATCAAATGGAATTGAATGGATTCATCGAATGGACACGAATTGAGTCATCATCAATTGGAATTGAATGGAATCATCAAATGGACTCGAGTGGAATCAGCATCAAATGAAATCAAATGGAATCATCGAATGGACACTAATGGAATCATCATCAAATGGAATCAAATGGAATCATCGTTTGGACACGAGTGGAATCATCAAATCGACTCTAATGGAATCATCATCGAGTGGAATCAAATGAAATTATCATCTGATGGAATCGAATGGAATCATCAATGAATGGAATCGAATGGAATCATCGAATGGAATGAGACGGAATCATCATCGAATGGAATCAAATAGAAGCATCGTATGAAATCCAAAGTAATAATCAATGAACGGACTCAAATGGAAACATCAATGAATGGACTCGAATGGAATCATCATCGAATGCAATCTAATGGAATCATCATCGAATGGAATCAAATGGAAACATGATCGAATTGAATCAAATGGAATCATGATGGAATTGAATTGAATGGCTCATAATTGAATGGAGTCAAATGGAATCATTGAATGGAATCAAATGGAATCATCTTCGAATGGCATCAAATGGAATCATCGAATGGAATCGAATGGAATCATCATCGAAAGTAATCAAATGGAACCATTGAATGAAATCGAATGGATTCACCATCGAATGGAGTTGAATGGAATCATCATCGATTGGAATCTATTGGAATAATTAATTAAGAGAATCGAATGGAATCATCATCGAATGGTATCAAATGGAATCATCAATGAGTGGAATCGAATGGATTCATCAAATGGAATCCCATGGAATCATCATCAAATGGAACCAAATGGAATCTTTGAATGGATTTGAATGGAATCATCATAGAATGGACTCTAATGGAATCATCATCGAATTGAATCGAAAGGTGTCATTGAGTGGACTCAAGTGGAATCATCAAATGGACTCGAATGGAAACATCATCGAATGGAGTCAAATGGAATCATCGAATGTCATTGAATAGCATCATCAATGAATGGAATCTAAGGGAATAATCGAATGGACTTGAATGGAATCATCAAATGGACTCGAGTGGAATCATCATCTTATGGAATCTCTGAATGGACTCAAATGGAATCTTCATCAAATGGAATTGAATGGAATCATCAAATGGACTCGAATGGAATCATTGGCAAATGGAACCTAATGGAATCTTCAAATGGACTTGAATGGAATCATCATCAAATGGTATTGAACGGAATCTACGAATGGACTCGATTGAAATCTTCATAGAATGCAGTCAAATGGAATCATCATCGAATGGATTCGAATGGAACCATCATTGAATGGAATTGAATGGAATCATCCAATGGAATAGAATTGTATCATCATCGGATGGAATCAAATAGAATCATCGAATGAAATCGAACGAAATCATCATCGAGTGGAATTGATTGGAATAATCATAGTTTGGAATTGAAAGGAATCATCATCGAGTGGAATAAAAAGGAATCATCCAATGGAATCATCATCGAATGGAATCGAATAGAATCATCGAATGAAATCAAATGGAATAATAATCAAATAGAATCAAATGGAATCATCATCGAATGGAATCGAATGGAATCAGCATCAAATGGAATCGAATGGAATCATCCAATGTGATAGAAGTGAATCACCATCGAATAGAATCATCGAATGAAATCAAATGGAATCATAATTGAATGGACTCAAATGGATTCATCGAATGGACTCGAATGGAATCATCGTCGAATGGAATACAAAGGAATCATCAAATGGAATCAAATGGAATCATCATCAAATGAAATCAAATGGAATCATTGAATGGACTCGAATGGAATCATCATCAAGTGGAATCAAATGGAATCATTGAATGTACTCGAATGGAATCATCATGGAATTGAATTGAAAGGAATCATCAAATGGACTTGAATGGAATCATTGAATGGACTCGAATGGAATCATCATCGAATGAAATCAAATGGAATCATTGAATGGACATGAATGGAATCATCATCAAATGGAATCAAATGGAATTATAGAATGGAATCGAATGGAATCATCATTGAATGGAATCTAATGGAATCATCATCTAATGGAATTGAATGGAATCATCAACGAATGGAATCGAATGGAGAAATCGAATGGAATCTGCTGGAATCATCATTGAATGGAAACGAATGCCATCATCGAATGGAATCGAATGCAATCATCATCGAAAGGAATCAAAAGGAATCATAGAATGGAATCAAATGGAATCATCATCGAATGGACTCGAATGAAATTATCATAGAATGGAATTGAATGGAGTCATTGAATGGACTCGAATGGAATAAGTGAATGGACTCGAATGGAATAAGTGAATGGACTCGAATGGAATAATCGAATGTACTACAATGGAATCATCGAATGGAATCGAAAGGAATGATTGAATGAACTCGAATGGAATCATCATCAAACGGAATCGGATGGAATCATCAAATGGAATCGAATGGAATCATCAAATGGACTCGAATGGAGCTATCGAATGGTCTCGAATGGAATCATTAAAATGGACCTTAATGGAATCATCATTGAATGGAATCTAATGGAGTCATCAAATGGACTCGAATGGAATCATTGAATTGACTCAAATAAAAACATCAGATGGAATAGAATGGAATCATCTTTGAATGGAATCATATTGAATCCTCGAGTAGAATCAAATGCAATTATGAAATGGAATCGAATGGAATCATTGAATGGAATCAAAGGCAATCATCATCGAATGGAATCAAATGGAATCATCGAATGGAATTGAATGAAATCATCGTCAAGTAGAATTGAGTGTAATCATCGAATGGAATTGAATGGAATCATTGTCGAATGGAATGGAATGGAATCAATGAATGTAATTGAATGGAATCACCAATGAATGGAATTGAATGGAATCATCATCGAATGGAATTCAATGGAATCATCATCGTATGGAATCGAGTGGAATCATCGAATGGACTCCTATGTAATCATTGGAGAATGGAATCAAATGGAATCATCAAATGGACTCGAATGGAATCATCATCAAATGGAATCAAATGGAATCATTGAATGGACTCGAATGAAATCATCATCAAATGGAATCGAATGGAATCATTGAATGGAATCGAATGGAATCATCATCAAATGGAATTGAATGGAATCACGGAATGGACGCGAATGGAATCATAATCAAATGCAATCGAATGGAATCATCTAATGGACTCGAAAGGAATCATGATCGAATGAAATAGAATGGAATCAATGAATGGACACGAATTGAATCATCATCGAATCAAATCTGATGGAATCACCGAATGGACTCGAATGGAATATCATCGAATGAAATCAAAAGTAATCATCGAATGGACTCAAATGGAATTATCAAATGGATTCGAATGGAATCATCATCGAATGAAATAGGAAGGAATCATCGAATGGAATCATCATTGAAAGGAATCGAATGGAATGTTCTAACAGACTCAAATGGAATCATTGTTGAATGGAATCGAAAGGAAACATCGAATAGACACGAATTGAATCATTATGGAATGGAATCAAATGGAGTCATCATCAAATGGAATCATATAGAATCCTCATCGAATGGAACTGAATGGAATCATCGAATGGAATAGAATATAATTATCTCTGAAAGGAAACAAATGGAATCATCAAATGAAATCCAATGGAATCATTATCAAATGGAATCGAATGGAATCGTCATCAAATGGAATCGAGCAGAATCATCATCAAATGGAATCGAACAGAATCATCATCAAATGGAATGGAATGGAATCATCGAATGGACTTGAACAGAATCATCATCGAATGGAATCAAATCTAAACTTCGAATGGACTCGAATGGAGTCATGATCGAATGGAATCGAATGTAATCTTCGAATGCACTCGAATGGAATAATCATTGAATGCAATCGAAGGGAATCAACATCGAATGGAATCGAATGGAATCCTCAAATGGAATAGAATTGAATCAACATCGAATGGAATCGAATGGAATCCTCGAATGGAACAGAATTGAATTAACATCGAATGGAATCGAATAGAATCATCAAATGAAATCGAATGGAATCATCATGAAATGGAATCGAATGGAATCATCATCGAATGGAATCAAATCGAATCATCATCAAATGGAATCAAATGGAATCATCAAAAATGGAATCAAATGGAATCATCGTTGACAGGAATCGAATGGAATAATCAATGAATGGAATCAAATGGAATCATTGAATGGAATCCAATGTAATCATCATCGAATTGAACCCAATGGAATCATTACATGGAGTCAAATGGAATCACCAAATGGACTCAAATGGAATCATCATCAAGTGAAATCAAATGGAATCATTGAATGGTCTCGAATGAAATCATCATCGAATGGAATCAAAAGGAATCATTGAATGGACTTGAATGGAATCACTGAATGGACTCAAAAGGAATCATCATCGAATGGTATCAAATGGAATCATCGAATGGACACGAATGGAATCACCATCGAGTGGAATCAAATGGCATCATCAAATTGACTCTAATGGAATCATCATCAAATGGAATCGAATGTAATAATCAAATGTACTCGAATGGAATCATCGAATGGACTGGAATGGAATTATCATCAAATGGAATCGAATGGAATTATCGAATAGAATCAAATGTAATCATCAAATGAAATTGCATTAAATCATGGAATGGACAGGAATGGAGTCATCATCGAATGGAATCGAACGGAATCATCGAACAGACTCGTATGGTATAATCATCGAATGGAATGGAGAGGAATCATCAAAGGAAATCAGTGGAATCATCATCGAATGATATCAAATGGAATAATTGAATGGGATAAAATGGAATCATCATCGAATGGAATCAAATGGAATCTTCTAAAGGACACGAATGGAATACTCATTGAATGGAATTGAATGGAAACATCGAATGGACACAAATGGAATCATCACCGAATGGAATTGAATGGAATCATTATGAAATCGAATCGAATAGAGTCGTCATTGAATGGAATCGAATGGAATCATCGCACGGAAGAGAATGGAATCATCATCGAATGGAATTGAATGGAATCATCATCGAATGGAATCAAATGGAATCATCATCGATTGGAAATGAATGGAATCGTAATCGAATGGAATCGAATGAAATCATCAAATGGACATGAATGCAATCATCAACTGTGCTTCAATGGAATCATCATGGAATGGTATCGAATGGAATCATCGAATGGGCTCGAATGGAATCATCATCAAATGGAAACAGATGGAATCATAGAATGGACTTGAATGGAATCATCAAATGGACTCGAATGGAAACATCATCGAATGGAATCGAAAGAAATCATCCAATGGACTTGAATGGAATCATTGAGTGTACTCGAATGGAGTCATCATCGGATGAAATCGAATGGAATCACCCAATGGACACAAATGGTATCACCATTGAATGGAATCGAATGGAATCATCATCGAATGCAATCGAATGGAATCATCAAATGGACCCGAATGGAACCATCATCGAATAGAATCGAATGGAATCATCGAATGGAATCATCATCTAATGGAGTCCAAAGAAATCATCAAATGGACTTGAATGGAATCATCATAGAATGGAATTGAATGGAATCATCGAATGGAATCGAGTGGAACCATCATCGAATGGAAGTGAATAGTATCATCAGATGCACTCAAATGGAATCATCAATGAATGGTATCATCGAATGGAATCAAGTGGAATAATCTTTAATTGGCATCAGAATAAATCACCGAATGGTCTTGAATGGAATAATCATTGAAAGGAATCGAATGGAATCATCAAATCGAATCGAATGGAATCATCATAAAATGCAATCAAATGGAATCATCGATCGGACTCGAATGGAATCATCATCGAATGGAATCGAAAAGAGTCAACACCAAATGGAGTCGAATAGAATCATCATCAAATGGAATCCAAAGAAATCATCATTGAATGGATTCAAATGGAATCATCAAATGGACTCAGATGGAATCATCGAATGGAATCAAACAGAATCATCAATGAATGGAATCATAAAATTGAATCCAGTGTAGTCATCGTCGAATTGAACCCAATGGGATCATTAAATGGAATCGAATGGAATCATCGAATGGACTCAAATGGAATCATCATCGAATGGAATAGAATGGAATCATCGAATGCAATCGAATGGAATCTTCAAATGGACTTGAACAGAATCATCATCGAATGAAATCGAATGGAATCATGGAATGGACTCGAATGGAACCATCATTGAATGGAATTGAAGGGAATCATCAAATGGACTTGAATGGAATCATTGAATGGACTCGAATGGAATCATCATCGAATTGTATCGAAGGGAATCATTGAATTTACTCGAATGGAATAATCATCAAATGGAACCGAATGGAATCATCGAATGGAATCCAATGGAATCATCATTGAATGGAAGCAAATTGATTCGTCTTCGAATTGACTTGAATGAAATCATCATTGAATGGAGCCAAATTGATTCATCTTCGAGTTGAACCAAATGGAATCATCAACGAATGGAATCAAATGGAGAAATCGAATGGAGAAATCGAATGGAATCCTTTGGAATCATCATCGAATGGAACCGAATGCAGTCATCATCAAATTGAATAGAATGGAATCATCAGCGAATGGAATCGAAAGGAATCATCATGGAATAGAATCAAATGGAATCATTGAATGGAATGGAATGGAATCATCATGGAAAGGAATCGAAGGGAATCATCGAATAGAATCGAACAGAATCATTGAATGGAATCGAAGGGAATGATCATCAAATGGACTCAAATGGAATTATCATCAAAAGGAATCAAATGGAATCATCGATTGGACTCTAATGGAATAATCAGGTGGACTCCAATGGCATCATCAAATGGAATTGAATGGAATCATCAAATGGACTCGAATGGAATCATCATCAAATGAAATTGGAAGGAATCAACGAAGGGAC
The DNA here is from genome assembly GCF_000001405.40 of Homo sapiens. NCBI lineage: Eukaryota > Metazoa > Chordata > Mammalia > Primates > Hominidae > Homo > Homo sapiens. The sequence continues at coordinate 36,232,731 of NC_000016.10, read as the reverse complement.
TCGAATGGAATCATCGAATGGACTCGAATGGAATCATCATTGAATGGAATCCAATGAAATCATCGAATGGACTCAATTGGAATCACCATCAAAAGGAATCGAATGGGATCATCATGAAATGGAAATGAATGGGATCATCATGAAAATAAATCGAATGGATTCACTGAATGGACTCGAACGTAATGATCAAATGGACTCGAATGGAATCATCAAATGGAATCATTGAATGGACTCGAATGGAATTACTAAATGGACTCGAATGGAGTCATCGAATGGACTCTAATGGAATCATCATAAAATGGAACATTATGGAATCATCAAATGGACTCGAATGTAATCATTGAATGGACTTGAATGAAGTCATCGAATGGACTCGAATGGAATTATCATCTAATGGAATCGAATGGAATCCTCGAATAGAGTCAGATGGAATCATCAAATGGAATCAAAAGGAAAAATCATCGAATGGTATTGAATGGAATCATAGAATGGAATCGAAGGCAATCATCATTGAATGGAATCAAATGGAATCATAGAATGGAATCAAATGGAATCATCATCAAGTGCAATTGAGTGGAATCATTGAATGGAATCGAATGGAATCATTGTCGAATGGAATGGAATGGAATCAATGAATGGAAATGAATGGAATCACCAATGAATGGAATCGAATGGAATCATCATTGGATGGAATCGAATGGAATCATCGAATGGACTTGAAGAGTATCATCATCGAATGGAATTGTGTGGAATCATCTAATGGGCACCAATAGAATCATCATCGAATGGAATCAAATGGAATCATCTAATGTACTCGAATGGAATCATCATTGAATGGAATAGAATGGAATCATCGAATGGAATCGAACAGAATCATCATAGTATGGAATCGAGTGGAATCATCGAATGGACTCGAATGTAATCATCAGAGAATGGAATCAAATAGTATCATCAAATGGACTCGAATGGAATCATCATCGAATGGAATCGAATGGAATCATTGAATTGACTTGAATGGAATCATCATGGAATATAATCAAAAGCAATTATCAAATAGATTTGAATAGAATCATCAAAAGGACTCGAATGGAATCATCATTGAATGGCATCCAATGGAAACATCGAATGGACCCGAATGAAATCATCATTGAATGGAATCAAATGGAATCATCAAATGGAATCGAAAGGAAACATCATCGAATGGAATCAAACGGAATCATCCAACGGACTGAAATGAAATCATTATTGAATGGAATCTAATGAAATCTTTATTGAATGGAATCAAATGAAATCATCGAATGGAATCAAATGGAATCATCATCAAATGGAATCGAATGGAATCACTGTATGGACTCGAATGGAATCCTCATCTAATGGAATTGAAAGGAATCATCTAATGGACTCGAAAGGAATCATCTAATGGACTAAAAAGGAATCATCTAATGGACTCGAAAGGAATCATCATCGAATGAAATTAAATGGAATCACTGAATGGAGATGAAAGGAATCATCATCGAATAGAATCGAATGGAATCATTGAATGGACTCAAAAGGACTATCGTTGAATGGAATCAAAAGCCATCATTGAATGGACTGAAATGGAATTATTGAATGGATTCGAATGGAATCACTGAATGGACTCGAATGGAATCATCATCGAATGGACTCAAATGGAATGATCGAATGGACTCGAATGGAATCATGGATTGGACTCAAATGGAATTATTGAATGGGCTAGAATGGAATCATCAAATGGACTCGAATGGAATCATTATGGAACGGAATGAAATGGAATAATCAAATGGAATTGAATGGAATCATCGAATGGAATCGATCAGAATCTTCGTCAAATGGAATCAGATGGAATCATCAAATGGAATCGAATGCAGTCATCATCGAATGGACTCGAATAGTATCATCATCCAATGGAATTGAATGGAATCATCAAATGGATTTGAATGGAATCATCATCGAATGGAATCTAATGGAATAATTAAATGAACTGGAATGGAATCATCTAAAGGAGTTGAATGGAATCATCATTGAATGAAATCAAATGGAATCACAGAACAACATCGAATGGAATCGTCATCGAATGGAGTCAAATGGAATCAATGAATGGACTCGAACGGAATCATCATTGAATGAAATCGAATGGAATCATAGAACAGCATCGAATGGAATCATAGAATAACATCGAATGGAATCATAGAATAGCATCAAATGGAATCATCGTCAAATGGAGTCGAATGGAATCATCGAATGGACGCGAACGGAATCGTAATGCAATGTAATCGAATGGAATCTTCGAATGGACCCAAATGGAATCATCATCGAATGCAACCAAATGGAATTGACATTGAATGGAATCGAATGTAATCATCATCGAATGGAATCGAATGGAATCATCATCAAATGGAATCGAATGGAATCATAGAATTGAATAGAATGGGATCATCATCGAATGGAATCAAATAGAATCATTGAATGAAATCGAATGTAATCATCATTGAATGGCATCGAATGGTATCATCATCGAATGGAATCATCGAATGGAATCGAATGGAATCATCATCAAATGAAATTGAAGGGAATCATTGAATGGCATTGAAAGGAATCATCATCCAATGGAATCAAATGGAATCATCCAACGGACTCGTTTCGAATCATCATCGAATAGAACTGTGTGGAATCATCGAATGGACATGAATGGAGTCGTCATCGAATGGAATCAAATGGAATCATCATCAAATGGAGTCGAATAGAATCACCATAGAATAGAATGGAATGGAATCATCTAATGGAAGAGAATGGAATCATCATCGAATGGAATCAAATAGAATCATCGAACAAAATCAAATGTAATCATCATCGAATGGAATAAAATGGATTCATGATCGAATGGAATCGAATGGAATCATCATCAAATGGAATCAAATGCAATCATCAACAAATTGAATCGCATGGAATCATTGAATGGAATCTAACGGAATCATCAACACATAGAAACGAATGGAACCATCATGGAGAGGAATCTAATGGAATCATCATCGAATGGAATCCAATGGGATCACTGAATTGAATGAAGAGATCATCGAATGGAATCAAATGGAATCATAGAATGGATTCAAAAGGAATCATCATCAAATGGAATCGAATGGAATCATCGAATGGACTCGAGTGGAATCATCATTGAATGGAATCAAATGGAATCATTGAATGAACACGAATGGAATCATCATTGAATGGAATCCAAAGGAATCATCGAATGGACTCAAATGGAAATATCATCAAATGGAACCAAATGGAATCATCGAATGGCTTCGAATAGAATCATCAAAGAATCATATCTAAGGGAATAATCAAATGGACTCGAATGGAATCATCTAATGAACTCGAATGGAATCATCATCGAATGGAATCGAATGGAATCATCGAATGGACTGAATGGAATCATCATCGAATGGAATTGAATGGAATCATCGAATGGACTCGAATGGAATCATCTTCAAATGGAATCTAATGGAATCAGGGAATGGACTCGAATGGAATCATCAACAAATGGAATCAAATGGAATCATCGAATGGCATTGAATGGAATCGTCATGGAATGGAATGGAATGGAATCATCAATGAAAGGAATCGAATGGAATGATAGAATGGAAGCCAGTGTAATCATCATCGTATTGAACTCAATGGAATCATTAAATGAACCCGAATGAAATCATTGAATGGACTCGAATGGAATCATCATCAAATGGAATAGAATGGAATCATTCAATGGAATCAAATGGAATCAACATAGAATGAAATCAAATGGAATCATCGAATGGACTTGAATGGAATCATCATTGAATGGAATCGAATGGAATCATCGAATGGACTCTAATGGAATCTTCGAATGGACTCAAATAGAATCATCATCGAATGGACCCAAAAAGAATTATCAAATGGACACGAATGGAATCATCATTGAATACACTCAAATGGAATTATCAAATGGACTTGAATGGAATCACGGATTGGACTCAAATGGAATTAACAAATGGGCTCGAATGGAATCATCGAATGGACTCGAATGGAATCATTATCGAATGGAATCAAATGGAATCATTGAATGGAATAGAATGGAATCATCATACAAAATCAATCGCAATCATCATCGAATGGAATCAAATGTAATCGTCTAATGGAATCGAATGCAGTCATCATGAAATGGGATCGAACGGCATCATTGAATGAAGTTGAATGGAATCATCATCAAATGGAATAGAATGGAATCATCATTGAATGGAATCTAATGGATTCATCATCCAATGTAATTGAATGGAATCATCATTGAATGGAATCATCATCGAATGGAATCAAATGGAATCATCCAATGTAATAGAATTGAATCTTCATCAAATGGAATCAAATATAATCATCGAAAGAAATCAAATGGAATCATCATTGAATGAAATCGAATGGAATCATCAATGAAAGGAATCGAATGGAATCATAGAATGGAAGCCAATGTAATCATTATCATATTGAACTCAATGGAATCATTAAATGAACCCGAATGAAATCATTGAAAGGACTCGAATGGAATCATCATCAAATGGAATAGAATGGAATCATTCAATGGAATCAAATGGAATCATCATCGAATGAAATCAAATGGAATCATTGAATGGACTCGAATTTAATCATCATCAAATGGAATCGAATGGAATAATCAAATGGACTCAAATGGAATCATCATTGAATGGACTTAAAAAGAATTATCAAATGGACATGAACGGAATCATCATTGAATGGACTCAAATGGAATTATTGAATGGACTCGAATGGATTCATGGATTGGACTCAAATGGAATTAACAAATGGGCTCAAATGGAAACATCGAATGAACTCAAATGGAATCATTATCGAATGGAATCAAATGGAATCATCGAATGGAATAGAATGGAATCATCATACATAATCGATTGCAATCATCATCAAATGGAGTCAAAAGTAATCATCAAATGGAATCGAATGCAGTCATCATCAAATGGAATTGAATAGAATCATCGAAAGGAATCGAATGGAATCATCATCAAATGGAATTAAATAGAATCATCGAAAGGAATCGAATGGAATCATCCTCAAATGTAATCCAATGGAATCATCGAATGGAAATCAAATGGAATAATCTAATAGAATTGAATGGAATCAGCATCGAACGATATCAAAAGGAAACGTCATCGAATATAATCGAATGGAATCATTGAATGGAATCATCAAATGGAATCATCATCAAATGGAGTCAAATGGAATCATCAAATGGACTCGAATGGAATCATCATAGAATGGAATTGAATGGAATCATCGAGTGAAATCCAATGGATTCATCACTGAGATCGAATGGTATCATGGAATGCACTCAAATGGAATCATCAATGAATGGTATTGAATGGTATCTAATGGAATCGAATGGAATCATCTTCAATTGGAATCAAAAGGAATCACTGAATGGACTCGAATGGAATAATCATCGAAAGGAATCAAATGGAATCATTGAATGGCATCAAATGGAATAATCATCGAATGGAATTGAATGGAATCATCGAATGGAGTCTAATGTAATAATCATTGAATGAAATAAAATGGAATCATCGAATGGAATTGAATGGAAATATCATCAAATGGAATCAAATGAAATCATGGAATGCACTCGAATGGATTCATTGAATGGACTCAAATGGAATCAACATGGAGTGGAATCGAAAGAAAACATCAAATGGTGTTGAATGGAATAATCAAATGGAACCATCATCGAACGGAATAGAATGGAATCATCGAATGGACGTGAAAGGAATCATCATTGAATGTAATCAAATGGAATCATCGAATGGAATCGAATGAAATCATCATCAAATGGACAAAAATGGAATCATCAATGAATGGAATCGAATGGAGCCATCGAATGGAATCATCATCAAATGGAACAGAATGGAATCATCAATGAATGGAATCGAATGGAGTCATCGAATGGAGTCCGTTAGAATCATCATCGAATGGAACCGAATACAGTCATCATCTAATGGAATCAAATGGAATCATCAAATGGACTTGATGGAATCATCATCGCATGGAATAGAATGGAATCTTCAAATGGACTCAAATGGAATCATCATCGAATGCAATCGAATGGAATCAACGATTCGATATGAATGGAATCACCATCAAATGAAATCGAATGGAAACTTTGAATGGAATCAAATGAAATTATTGAGTGGAATCGAAAAGAATCATCACTGAATAGAATCGAATTCGATCATCATCGAATGGAATCTAATGAAATCATCATCAAATAGAATCTAGTGTAGTCAACATCTAATGGAATAGAATGGAATAAGCAAGGAATGGAATCGAATGGAGAAATCAAATGGAATCCGTTGGAATCATCATCGAATGGAACCGAATGCAGTCATCATAGAATGGAATTGAATGGAATCATCGAATGGACTCGAATTGTGTCATCATTGAATGGAATCGGATCAAATCATTGAATGGACTCGAATGGAATCATCGAGTGGACTCAAATGGAAACATTATCATACGGAATTGAATAGAATCCTCGAATGGACTCTAATGGAATCATCATTGAATGGAATCAAATGGAATCATTGAATGGACTCTAATGGAACCATCATTGAATGGAATCGAATGGAATCATCAAATGGACTCGAATGGAATCATTGAATGGACTCGAATGGAATAATCATCGAATGGAATCGAGTGGAATCCTCGAATGGAATCAAATGGAATCATCAAATGGAATTGAACAGACTTATAAGAAACTTACTTGAACCAAATAATAGAAAAACAAACAAACCAAAACCCCCTAAAACTGTGATGAGCAAAGTAGACATCAGAACAGGAAATATCACTGGGGATGAAGAATAATGTTTCAAAATGACAAAGGGGAAAATACACCAAGAAGTCATGTAAATAAGAAATATGTATGCACACAATAGCATTACTTCAAAATACATAATATAAAACCTATTAAAAATGAAAGGTAAAATAGTAAAACCACAGTCATCCATGGGGATTTCAACAGTCTCCTGCCAGAAATTTTTAAATTTTGCTAAATGAAAAGTTGGTAAGGCTAGAGAGGATCTTATAAATATAATTAGCCAACTTGATCCAATTGAATCTTTTAGAATAATCTAAGGATGAGGAGTGAGGTAGCAGAGAAAGAAAAGGCAGACATCAACGTGACATTAGTGTTTCAAGGCTATGAGAATACACCAATAATGGTGTGTGTGTGTGTGCAGATGGTAAGCTCAATCTTAAAATTATTGAGTTTTAACTGACAATTCATTATTAGGAAAGATAAGAGGAAATGATATCTAGTGAGAGGCTATATGACTGAACTCTAAGAGAAAAGTCACAGCAGAAATTGTGTACTTGACCGCTCGAGAAGGAGGTCAGTCAAAAATAAGTCAGTGATGAATTCTCTGGTATAAAAGCAGAGGAATGAGGATTAGATTGAAAACACATGGAAGCAGAGTGACTTATGATAAAAACATGAGCTTGAAAATCCTGCAGAGAGGGCTTTAAATCCTGGGTATGATATTCTGCTTGTGTAGGCAATAGTGATAAAAACACAACAACAAAGAGAGGTAAAGAGCACTTTCCTTTGATATAAGTAAAGGGCACGTCTTATTGCACACATGTATATATATAGGTATTCAACTGAGATTCAACATGTTTCTCCCATTGAAACAGCAAGCTCTCCAGGCCTTCATGTTCCCAGTGAGGTAGGTAACCTTCTGATGATTACACTCACCCTCCCTCATTGCAAAACTCCCATTGTTATTTTCTTGGCTCTGGATTCCCTCAAAAATAGACTATGAAACAAATATCGGGGGTCAGATACTTTAATCAGAAATTGAGTGAGAAAGCACAGAAGTGGAGAAAATGAAACAGAACACGAAGCCAGTGTGAATGAGTAGTTATTGCTATGTGCTCAGTAATGATGGAGGTATGGAGATTGTCTCAAAATAACTTTACAAAGATGGGGATTCCAGCATCCCCATCTCTTATTTCTTAAGGACTGCCTTATAATCATTAACTCTCCACCCCTAACTCCTTCTTTGTTCCTATGTGTGGTTGAGAAGCACTGGTTAGCCTCAAGAAGCTTTCAGGCAGGCCCCAAAATCAGAAAGACAGGCATGATGTGGGGAGCTCTCAGTTAGCTGGAAACAGGTGAATTTCAGGTGAACACATTGAGTCCAGTACATAGAAGACAAGTCATCGGCAATATCTGCTATAACCACTTTTGTTTTTCTTTTTAAGAACATATATACTTTCTATTGGGGGTCCCCAAGTCCCCCTTTGGTTTAATGATTCACATAACTCAAGAAAGCTGATTTTTTCTGTGGTTATAGTTTCTAACAGTGAAAGAAACCAGATTAAAATAATCAGAAGCATAAAAGCACATAAAGTTGAGTCCAGGACAAACCAGATGTGAGCTTACAGGTGTCCTTTCATAGTGGGGACTTCACACTGACTAATTTTCTTTACAATGGTGTGAGACAACATGTGTGAACTCGTTGCCAACTAGGGAAGCTCGGTCAGTCTTGAGTCCAGGGTTTTTATTAGGATTCCACCACATATGCATCGAGCGTCCTGTGACTGAACTTAGCTACTTAGTTCCCAACCTCCCTATGCCCTAAGAGAGGTCATATTAATATGGCATTACAAAAAGTCATGGGCATACAGAAACAGGTGCTCACAAGAAATCACGTTGTTAGCATCAGCTATTTGATATGACCTACGTTTTCAGGTATACAAAGACTCTCATCAGGCAGTATATACCAAGGGCTCATAGGTTATCATCTCCCAGGAGCTTGTCAAGGGCCAGTCCTGAAGACCTTTGGAATGCGCAAGGTTTTAGAAAGCCATGTCTGCAGAATTAACCCTTCATTACACAACCTCCAAGAATTTTTTAATCATTAAAAATATTTTTTGATCTTTGACAATGTACCAACCAATACTGAGTAATTAGTAACAACAGTGTACTCCTGAGTACTTGCACCTTCAAGGAGAAAAAGGACAGATGCACTTACATTGGACAGATGCAAATAGACACCTCTATGACAAGTAAAGCTGGAATAATCAATAAATTCCTAAAGACAAAGGGGGACTGGTAAGATTGGGAGACTGCTGACAGCTGCAGAAGTTGGGAAAGATCCATCATCTTGAAAACTTTTTCCCCACAAACCCACTGCAATCTCTCAAGCAATTGGTAAGGAATTCAATAGAGTCTGTATATGACACAGATCAGGGAGAGCAGAAAACTTGGGAGGTGACCAGGTCTTGGGGGTCGAGCCTTATGAATGGGATTAGTGCCTTTATAAAAGAAGCTCAATGGAGTTCTTGTGTGCCTTCCACTACGTGAGGACAAAGAAAGAAGGCACCATCTATGAACCATGAAATTGGCTCTCATCAAACACTGAATTTGTGAGCATTTTGACCTGAGATCTTACAGCCTCAAGTAGTGTGAAAAAAGAAATATCTGTTGTTTTTTAGTCACCCAGTTTATGTTATTTTGTTATAAGAGTCCAAATAGATCAAGACGTTCCGCTTAACATGTAGGGGAAGACAACAAAAGCTGCCACACTTAGAATACTCCTGATGCTGGGAGTATGAACACAGGAAAAACAAAACAAAACTGCTCTTGAAGGTGAAGGAGGAATATCACTGAGCTCACCAACACAGCCAGGAAAAGAACAGAAGTGTGAGAAGGCTACATTCCTGAGACTCTGAGAAAAAGTACCTGCATAGGACTGAGATGAAATTAACTATTCTAGTTATGATTGAAATCCCAAAAAGAAAAGAGGGAAAAATAATGGAGCAAAAGAAATATTTTTCAAAATAACTGCCAAAATTATTCTAAAATAAGTGACGGAAAATCAAACTTCAGATATAGGAAACTCAGAGAATGTCAAATAGAACAAAAAGAAATAAGAATTACATCTTGAAAAATCTTTAAAAAATCAAGTCTAAATTTTTTATCTTGCTCCAAATATACAGAGATATAAATAGGTTATCATCAAGATATGGAGAAAGCCATATCATGGAAACACTAAGATAAGACTGTGGAAGGACTACATTGATATTAGACAAAACCGAGTTCGGAACATGTAATACTATCAGAGATGAGAGATAATAGATAATAGAATAATCAATTCTCAAGAAGATGTAAACATCCTACTAATTAGGGTATGCAGGTAACAACAGAGCCTCCAAATACATGAGATAAAACAAGAAAGAAATCAAAGGTGAACTAGAAAAATCCAAAATTATATTTGCAGACTTCAACACTTTTGTCTTAGTAATGTAAACACTAGGCACAAACTCAGTAATCATGTGGAAGATAAGAACAACAATATCACCAACAAGACATCCAATCTTCAATGGCAGATACTCTTTCCTTTCAAGTGAAAAAAAACAGTATGGCATATTCTCTAACAAACCCAGAATTTCTAATATTTGTGTTCTTCCTTCCTTCTTTCCATCTTCCTTTCTCTTCTCTTCCCTTCCCTTGCCTTCTTCCTTCCTTTCTTCTTTCCCTCTTCCTTTTTTCTTTTTTCTTTTCCTTTCTTTCTTTTCTTTCTTTTTTCTCCTTCCTTCCTTCTTTCCTTCTTTCTTTCTTTCCTCTTATTCTTCCTTCCCTCCTCCCTGTCTTCCTTTCTCCCTCCCTTTTCTTCCTTCTTTTCTCATATTCTTTCTTTCTGTCTAACGTTCTTGCTTTCTTTCCTTTTTTCTCCCTTCCTCCCGCCCTCCATTTCTTCCTTCCTCCCTCCCTTCCTTTCCTCTTTTTCCTTCCTTCCTTCGCATCTAAATTTTCTTTGTTTCTTTGCCTTCCTCCCTTTTACCATTCTCTCTTCCTCCTTTCCTTCCTCCCTTCCTCCTTTCTTTCTTTCTCTCTTTCTCTCTTTCTTTCTCTTTCTTTCTTTCTCTCTTTCTTTCTTTCTTGTGTTCATGCATTCTTTTTTCTCCCTTCCTGCCTTTCTCCCTTCCTCCCCACTCCCTTACTTCCCTCATTTCCTCCTTCTTTTATTTCTTCTTTCTTTCTTTGTTTCCTTCCTTCCTTCTTTCCTTCCTTCTTTTTCTTTCTTTGTTTCCTTTTCTTTCTTTCTCTTTACTACAATTCATATTATTTTTAAAAAATTAAGAGAGGGAGACAGAAAAATAAAGAATGCTTTAATGTGCAGGTAAATAGATTATGTCTGCTGTAGGCAAAAGAATGGCCTCCCAAAAATTTTCATGTCCTAATTCCCAGATTCTAACATACAAATATGTTAGGTTGCACGGCAGTGTGAAATTAGATTTCAAGTGAAATTAATGTTGCGGAAAAATGATAGAGAGATTGTCTTAAATGGGTGGGATCAATGAAATGACAAACTTCCTTATAAGTAAAAGAAGAAGGCAGAAGAAAGGCAACCTTGGAGGTGGTGGCATGAGAAATTACTCAACATCACTGACTTTTAAGATACAAGAATGAGGACCCAGCACTGTGGCTCATGCCTAATCCCAGCACTTTGGGAGGCTGGGGTGGGTTTATCATGAGGTCAGGAGATCAAGACCATCCTGGCTAACATGGTGAAACCCCAACCCTACTAAAAATACAAAACATTAACTGGGTGTGGTGGCAAGTGCCTGTAGTCCAAGCTACTCAGGAAGCTGAGGCAGAAGAATCACTTGAACCCAGGAGGCAGAGGTTGCAGTGAGCTGAGATCATGCCACTGCACTCCAGCCTGGATGACAGAAGGAGACTCCATCACACACAAAAAAAGAAAAATAGGATATAAAAATGAGGTCATGTTCCAAGGAATAAAGGTGGCCTCTGGATGCTGAAAAAAATCAAGTAATAGATTCTGCCACATAGCCCTCAGAAAGACTGCAGCCCTGCCCAAAACTTGATGTTAGCCCTGTGAGTGTCATTTAAGGCTTCTGAACTACAGAACTGTAGGATTAACGGTCACTTTATTGTAAGATATGAAGTTTGTGGCAATTGTTTACAGCAGCAAGAGGAAGTTTATATTGTAATTGTATCATGAAAATGAGAACCATAATTTACAACTGCTTTTAATACTGCACTTGGATGTTTGAAATCATGTACATGGAAATGATCTCTATGTGCATGAGGGAGGATAGCAAATTGATGCCAAAATAATGCAAATGCAAATCTTACACTCATTTCTATGTAGGTTTCATTTAATCTTTGAAATTAAAATGAAATTAAATGATTGTGATCTTTTGATGAAATTAGACTAAAATGAACAATAACAAAATAAGAACTTACTTATATTGTTTATATGGTCAATAAAGAAGTGATAGTGGAAAAAAACAAGATCAAATGAAGGTGATGATGTAGGAAGTTGGAAAGATAGCTGAAACTACAAAATGGTATATAACCAGTGAACACTTAGACACACTGATTGATGAACTTCAGCTTTTGGCTTGGTGAGAGCATAAAATGAGAGCAGCTGAGGTTTGCAAATTTGTAATCTCCTTGTGGAAAACCATGGGAAAACACATCTCAGCCTAATAAGATTTATCTACTAAAGAGTCTAGACTTCAACCATTTGTCCTTGTAATTCAAAAGCTAATTCAAATACTGATCTGATGCATTGTGTGAACAAGCATTGCTGATTATCATCGCATACCTGGCATTCTCTTTTATCTGATATCAAAAATATTTGGTAATTCCTGGACTTTCTCTTTTCAAACCCAGTACGGTTTAATTTGAGTCTTAGAACAGTTGTCTTTGAGAAATTCTTCCCTCTACTGCATCTGTGAATGGGCATAGCATGGTTACATACATACTGTCACTCCATAGAACATTAGTTAAATTAAAGCCAAAGTTTAAAGCAAGAGCTTTAACTTACTGGTTTTACTAATGGTTTCCTCCCCAATAGCCACAACAATATTGATACCCTCACACCTTTTAACATAAAGCTTGGTGTTGTCTATTTTGCAGGTGCTGTCATCTATATGATCTCAGTATTTTAAAAATCAGCTTCCAGCCCATATGGTGGTTCATGCTTGTAATACCAGCAGTTGAAGAGGCTGAAATGAGAGGATTCCTTGAGCCCAGGATTTCAAAAGTAACCTGGGCAACATAGCAAGACCCAGTCTCTATCAAAGGTTAAAAAAAAAAGGTGGGCATGGTGATGTGCACCTGTTGTCCTAGCTATTTGGGAGGCCAAGGTGGAAGGATTGCTTGAGCTTGGGAGGCTGAGGCTGCAGTAAGCAGTGATTGCACCACTGTACTCCAGCCTGGGCAACAAAGCAAGACCCTATCTCAAAAAATATATATAATAAAAATAAAAATCAGCTCTCCTTGATTTCTATGTAAATATGCACAGGTGATGTCCATATAGACATAAATAATAATATTTCTGACAATGGGTCCTTATGATCTTCAAAATGTAAAATGTCTATGTGGATAATTGACTGGTCAGTCTCATTAATGACTATAGATTCAATTCTACTTTCTTGTTCTACATAAATTATATAATCTAGCTTTTCATTTCACTTATTTACTGATAACAACAGGAAGAATGACAAGATATCTGTTTTGGAAAATTACTCTGGTAGGAGTAAAGATGAAACAATTATAGAATTGCATGGAAAACTAGAAAAAAGTATGGTCTTCTGATATTCTATCACATCACATACTAAAGGCCTCATGAAACTCAGATATTTTATCTAAAAATGTTATTTTCATCATAGGAATGATCAAAGCATGAGACTACAATTGTTTTAAAATGTGCTTCTATCACAAGCACAGGTGCTAAAACGGAGGGGAAAACATCATTACTGATATTTTCAATGTATGTTTTACTTTTCATCAACATGAACCTCAACTTGATACGATGCAGATTGAAGGAAATCACCCATAATTCCATATGAAGAAGGCCTGTGATATTTTATGGGAAAACAAATAGAGAAAATGCTAACAGAAACCCTATTAAGCATGAATCTTTATGGAGCAAACACAAATCCAGTGGTGAAAGATACACACTCGAGTTCTGTTTGTTGTCTTGGAACAATACGGTTTAGAGGTGACTGGCGGGTGAGGAGAACATATGCGAGTTCACCAAAGAGAAAAGCTGAATGAGGCAATGCCTCTTCCTGACCGTATCTCTTACTCAGATAACTATATAATTTATTGTCCAGTAAAGGGTATATTAAAAAATCATATTAAAAGTCATGCAGTGAAGTTGTCCAGGGAAATCAAGACTTAACAGTCTCACTCTGACAATAATGAACAGGGGGATACCCTCAAGATAGACTAGGGCATGGTAGTAGTACCAGAAACGGACCCATGGAAAATCTTTACCTTATGCTTGAGGTAGGGACCAGGCTAAAGTGAAAACCAGACATAAAATTCTATCTAAAATAAATCCACAATCAAAGAAAATATGTGGTGTACAGGCATAGAATGTCTTTACTGGATCATTGAAATAGTAAGATAAATTCAACTTTTTACATTGCTTTCTTTTCCTCCAGTTAGGGCATGAGGTTTGTCTCTGGGGAGTGACTGTCAATTGGAGCCCTGCCTTTCTGGGGTTCTGGTCAGGGGGTTGTGGATGCTTAACATGTGCCTTTCACAGGACACTTCCTTATCCCAGCAGTGGCCAGGTGTGCATCCCACGACCTGGCCTCCCTCTCACAGAACATCTGTTGAGACTAGGAGATGCCTGGTGACTGTTGCCTGACCTGTGTCCTGTGTATTTCTGACAAGAGCCACTCTCAGAGACCCTGGCCAGGAGGAGAGTTAGGTCCCAGTGTAGGTCAGCTCAGACCCATGGAGGCCACAGAACCAAACATGGGAAATCACAGAAGTAGGTTTCTTACTCACAGATCCAGAGAGAAGAGGGTAGCTGAGAAGAGGGTTTAGCTGTGCCCCCAGCCAAATCTCATCTTGAATTCCCACATGTTGTGGGAGGGAACAGGTGGGAGGTAATTGAATCATGGGGGCAGGTCTTTCCCATGCTGTTCTTCTGATAGTGAATATGTCTCACAAGATCTGATGGTTTTATAAAGGGGAGTTTCCCTGCACAAGCTCTCTTGTCTTGTCTGCTGCCATGTGAGACGTGCCTTTCACCTTGCACCATGATTGTGAGGCCTACCTAGCCATGTGGAACTGTGTGTCTATTAAACCTCTTTCTTCTGGAAATTACCCAGTCTTGGGCATGTCTTTACCGGTGGTGTGAAAATGGACTAATACAGTAGCACACCTCATAGGGCTGAACAAAATGGGGAAGATGAGTGGGGAGCAGGAGAGAGAAAAGGGGTTTGTGGAACTCCAGCCTTTATTGGGCCCAGAACATTACCCAATTAAGTTTTCCACAGGGCACTTGTCTGTGGGGTGAGTGCCAGCAGGCACATTTCTTGACTCCCGCTGCAACCGAGCAGGTCAATGTGGCGTGTGGGGCTGTCCATGTGCGCTGTGAAGTCTGTGGGGTGAGTCAGGTAGGTTGTATCCAACGGTTCCATAGCTGGTAGTCACCAGGAGGAGGCAACTGTGTAGGGTCAAAATCTGGGCCAGCCACACTGAGGAACTGTGAGGGTTAGAACTGGAAATTGTCAAGGGAATCTGAACCCAGCTACCATATGAGAGAGTTCAACTTATGTTCAACGTGAATGGCATGGAAATATTAAAAGGTAAGAATTCACTCCATACGTGCTTCAGGTAAACAGGAGAAACCTAGAATTTATGTAAACAGTGAGAAGATTGGATGCGTTTTCCATCACATATTTTAATACTAGCAGCATATTATATATGTCAATCCGTCAGACATTCAGAAATACATGCTTATGAAAATTTTTTGCACCATCAGACAAAAGACAAGGGTAGAAAACATTTGTAACCCTATAAACACTAGTAAATTAAAAACAGAAGGACCTTTATGTCCTAACATATCTCTGTTGTGAAAGGCTGCCCTGTGAAATAGGGGATTTCTTAAACATATTTTAAAAATCATAGGTGTCAATATTTTTTAGAAATCCATTTAAATTTTCTCTTGTAATTTTACAATGCCTATTTATTTATTTAGTGGCTCTGCTGATTTTGATGTATATCCTAAACTTTATATTTTCTTTAAAGGATGTTTTATACAACTTTATATAAAATGTTTCACTATCTTCACATTCTCTCCCTGTCCTTTTGTTTTGCTCTTATATGGTGGTCTTGAGTCTTTTCTCTGGCTTTTCAAACCTAGTAAGACTAAGACACTAAAGGAACTTTGCCCGTGGTTTGGTAATGCCTTGTAAAGCCCATCCTATGCTCTCGTGCATACAGTGGTCTCCTTTCAGCTCTGTGCTTTTGAGATACCATATACCTAAATTCCAGTACTCCAAATCAGTACTGCTCAGTTTTAGTGACTAAGTTGAAAAATGTATTTTAATAGCAAGTTAGTTTAGTGCACTCTTGCTTCTTTCTTGACTGCTTATATACATATATATTCCTTTAAATGAATCTTGGAATTTACTTAAAAACTTTAAATTATACTAATGAAACTGTATACTGTTGTGAATTCATAAGTGAAGTTGGAAAGAATTTGTCTTTATGATACTAAATCCTTTTTATCCAAGAATCATATGTGTCTTTATATTTACTCCAGTCTATATTTATATCACTGAGTAAATATATAGAAAAGTAGATACATACAGCTGTAGTTATAGATACAAATATATTTATAACATGTTAAATCTATATCTATCCCATATAACATATATACATGTCATATGTGTGTGTGAATATATATGTTTATGTTATTAAAGAGCTCCCTTAAAATTTTTCTTTTATTTCCTATATAATTTTAGGTCGAGCTTGAATTTTCTTTGTATAAACAAGCAAATATTTATACTAGTTTTAATACTGATGTTTAGACATTCTATCTTATTTTAGCATTGAATATTTTCACAATTATTATAAATATTTTCTAATATTAATAATGTACCTGTTAAAAATATTTAAAAGTTTACTTTTGAATTATTTTATGGTTGAATTAAAATTCCTTTAATATGATAGTCAATTTCTAATTTATGCTTTCTCTATGCATATGAAAATTAATCTATCCACTTCTCTATCTCCATGTAGTAACGTATGAAAATCAGGCCTCTCTTCTAATAGACTTACACATGTTTGCATATAGAATATCAGACTCTTTATAGCATTTAAAATCTTTAAAGACATGAATATTGCCTTTTAACAAATATATTTTAGCATGTACTGAGAATCCCCTATTTATTTTTAATTGGAGCTAATCAATATGATTATTAATATTATTGGATTACCAAATTTGGAAACACACTTTCATCCCCAAGGTGGATATTTGTTTTATTTTTTTGCCAATTTCTTGTCTTACTGTTCAAATATTGTTGGATATTATTTTTATTTTATTTGGCATTTTAGTATCAACATTTGTAATTGAGGTACTCTACATATTTTTTCTTCAATATCAGGTGGGTTTTATAATTACTGCTATATTGGATTTGTAGTAGACATTGACAAAAAGTATTCCTGTATGTTTTATAGCTGTATGAAGGAAACTAATATATTTTACCCCTAAATATATTTCCTTGATGTATTTCAAAATGGCTATTGAGAAGGGCTGGAAATGCAAACCTAGATGCAAAGCTGTCTTGGGGAGATTTGCATAGGTAGATAATCTGCTTTGATTCAGACAGGCTTTCTCTGAGGTCTGCCCCCTTGTCTGGATCTAGGAAAGCTTAAATGAGAGTCTGAGGTCTCCAAAGGTCTGAAAGAAACATTTTCTGTCTATTTTCTCTGAGGACTACTCCCAGTGAGGTTCCACCTAGGTAATAAGTCCACTGTTGCTAGCCAGGGTCGTTTTCTCACATAACCTTTCTTTTTTTTCCCTGTGATCCAAGACCCCATTCTTTCTGTAAACTTCATGTGG
Source organism: Homo sapiens (assembly GCF_000001405.40). Taxonomy (NCBI): domain Eukaryota; kingdom Metazoa; phylum Chordata; class Mammalia; order Primates; family Hominidae; genus Homo; species Homo sapiens. Next base: position 36,214,750 of record NC_000016.10, on the reverse strand, counting down.
TAGATAAGCTTCTGCACGCATCGTGTGTCTGGGTCTTCGTTCTAAGGGCTCCGGTGTACACACATTGCAGAAACCTGTATGCCTTTTCTACTATTTACCTGCCTCCTATTAGTGATTTTCAGGGAAACTTCAGAAGGCAACAGGGACATTCTCCTTTAGCCCATTCTCAGACAAAACCCCCCAACATTTAACTGATTCCTAGTAGCTTAAAATCACTTTGAAAAATCCATATATTTATAACCTTTTCTTCCCTCTATGATTTCTGGTCAGCTTGGGTTTTGTTTTTCATTCCATTTACTTCATCCTCAAAAAGATCTATTTTACCTGTATTTATTCTCATTTATGGACATTGAGAAAAGAAAATAACTTTCATCTGAGAAATGCAAGTCCTTTTAAATAATCAGGCCCAGAGAGATATTCAAATGAGACAGCAGTTCTGTCCCGCTCCTCTTTGAGCTGTGTGTTCATCTAGGCTGCGTGCTGTTGCCACAGTAGCTATAAATTAACCAATAACGCCACACCAGACACTATAATCCACACCCAATAATAGTGTAACAGTGTATAGCCAGTCACTAATAAATGTTATTTCCAAAAGCCAATGAGAATTTGTGACAAGCCTCTTTGCATCATCCCACTTCTGGACCCTTTTTTGCCTTTAAGAAACTGCTTGTTGCAAAGCTCCAAAGGGAGTTCATATCCAAGGATACTTGGGTCTGTTTCTTCCAGGCAGCTGTCCTCATTTTGGCTCAAGTAAACTCTTTGAATTACGTTTTGTGCTTCTGCCACTTCCACTTAGATTAACAACATGGATTTGTGTCACCATGTACAGCAATTAAAATGTTTACACTTTTCCCCTCGAGGGCACTGATGTGTTTTTCTGAGCACTTGGAATAGCTACGTAGTGTTTACTGTCTAGATTATGGTTTCTCAACCTTGGTGCTACTTACCTTTAGGACCAGAGGATTCTTTGTTGTGGGAGGCTGCCCTAGCAATGCTTGGTGTTTCGTTTGACCTCTAAATTTCACACCTCCACCAGTCTTGACATCCCCACAATAAACCTAGATATTGACAAATGTCTCCTGGGGAAAACTCTCCACCAGTTGACAGCCAAAATTCTGGAAATATTGGAATTGTCAATTGAGATTTCATGTTATCCAAAACAAATACTTTTCTTTGTTTTTAAACATCTACTTCCATCTACTTATCTACTTATTTTTACTTTTATTTGTAACTTAATTCCATCAAGGAGAGAGAGTGCATTTTCTGTTATGCTAAATTTTTGAAGAATGTATTGATTTTTTATGACCTGATATATGGATGATATGTAGATATTACATGTTTGCATTATCAAATTTCAGGGCGATAATAAAATAAATACTTATAATATTTATATTGTCACTGTTTATTAGTTATTTTCTTTCTTCACTACAGGAGTTTTTCAACCTATAGGCTATTTTTCAATTCTAGGTTATCCAGTAGATTTTGAAATGTTATGATTAAATATCTACTTCTCAAGCATTCATCTTTGCAAATGAAACAACCCCAAGCTCTTATAATGCACATCATATAAAGGGCAGATTAGTCAATATATGGTTCAGAAATAATTATGTAATATTTATAAGAAAATTAAAAATTTAGATCCTTAACTCAGATAACAATCATCCAAATTAAAATTTGATTTCATTACATAATTTAAAATGAAACCAGAATACTAGTAAAAATGTAGATAAGTTTATATAATCTTTTTTAGCTGTAGGACTTTATTAGCATAAATTCAAATACAGGAACCAAAGTAAGATTGAGACCTATAGTCAAAGGTTAAAATGTACACATTATAGGGGCATGATTAAACTAATTTAAAGCATGATAACATGGAGAAATATTGCAAAACGTACATTTTACTGAATTAATTGTTAATACCTAATCATTATGTGAGAACAAAATTAAAGAGTAACTGCACACGCACACACCCACACACAAGTGCAATATTGTCAAATAAACGATGTTCAGCTACACTAGAAATCACACCAGTGTTTTCTCCACAGAAAAGATTAAAAATCACAATAATATTTATTGTATATATGGAGGTAAAGATACTCAAAATATTACCCTAAAATACATTTTTTTTGGAGATGGAGTTTTGCTCTTATTTCCCAGGCTAGAGTGCAATGGCACAATCTTGGCTCACTGCAACCTCAGCCTCCCAGGGTCAAGTAATTCTCCTAGCTCAGCCTCCCAAGTAGCTGAGATTACAGGCATGCACCACCACACTCGGCTAATTTTTTGTATTTAGTAGAGACAGGGTTTCACCATGTTGGTCAGGCTGGTCTGCAACTCCTGACTTCAGGTGATCTACCCACTTCAGCCTCCCAAAGTGCTGGGATTACAGGCATGCGCCTGGCCAGCTTTTTGACATATTTCAAGATGGCTACTCGGAAGACTGGAGATAGCTTCTTCTACAAGAATAGCTGAAAAGCTGTGTTTGTTGGGGAGATTTATATTTGTAGAGAAAGTCTGCATTGATGTAGACAGGCTTTCCCTGAGATACTCCCTTGTCTGGGTTTAGAAAAGATTAACTGAGTCTGGCACGTTTACATTTCTAAAAACCATTTCCTATCTATACTTCCCAAGAGGAGGGCTGCTCCCTGTGAGGTTTCATCCATGTAACAAGACGACCTCTGCTGCCAGGCTCCTCTTTCTTCCTTGTCGTCACCTGTCTTCCACAAAGCCTGATTTACCAACCTACAGCTCTGTGTTTTCTGTAACCTCAAGACAGCATAGGCGTGTTGACTACCTTGGCTTTCCTAGTGTTTTTATATATATAGTATATATTTGTATATCTATTTATAATATACACATATTTGTATAGATATATTTATATATATTATGTAAACTCCAAGTGCATACTTGTGCACATATCTGTAAACCTTTTTTTCTGTTAATTTGTACATTATCAGTTTGTTTTATAGACTCAAATAATTAAAGTTTCAAGGGAAAATTTAAACTTTCCTATAGAGAAAAGACAAATGTATAGGTGACAAATAATATTTAGAGTGTAAGACGCTTTTTAAAGGTATACTTGCAATTTGTGTCAAAACACTTAAATATACATTTGTTATTTTAACAATAAAATTAAAAATAATTTAAGCCAAATACAGAGTATATGCAGAAAATTTAGCAATATATCTATGTAGCACCTTACTGTGCATTACTGTAACCAGCCATCTAATATAAAGAATTAATTAAGGTAGCAGCTACTTTTCAAAGAGCGCATTTTTTTCACAGACCTATTAAATAAGACAAATAACATTTAAACTTTATTTTTAAATTTGCAGAAATGTAGTTCTCAGCAGATGGCTTATTTTAGCAAATTCCATCTTCACATTGTGCTATGCTTTTATGAGTTCCAGGTGTTAACGGAGAATATTTTACTGCTGAAACTATCATGTGTGATATAATTGCTCATTATGTGCCTTAAAACACAAGCAATATAATTATTTTTAACTTGGAGCAAATTAAAATCTTATCAGCAATTTAAAAACTCTGGAGTCGTCTTATGCTGGTTATTTTAAACTTGTATTTTTCTCTTTATGTTTTTAGTGAGTTGTCTTATCAAGGAGAAGAACTCAAGGTGATTATTCTTTTTTTTCTCTTCCATCCACTTCGCAGGTGTGTTAATAATTTCATTTCTCAGAAAATGTTCTTTCATATCCATCTTACAAGATGAGAGACCTTTTAACATCTTCCATTCGGATGTGATACCAGTAATGGAAAATATTCCAGCTTCATGAATATGGTGATACAAATAGTTATCCGTCTAACCTCTTTCAGTGCCAAATGTTTACTTTCCTCAGTGACTTACTCAGTTGACTGCTAATTTCTTCTGAAATCACTAATGAGAGGATCAGAAGTCTGGCTGTTGTCTGTACCTCATATGACTCCCAGTGCAGACAATTGTTTCTATGGAGCACAGACAGTTGAAAGGATTGAATTCCTGCCTAGAATAATTTCTGCTGTGCTTCTTGTCCTTCTTGTGGAAATTTCATATTATGTGAATTGCTTTTCCATCTTGAGAAAAAACGCAACAATTCTCCCACCTGAGAGGAATGTAAACTGTAGTAAGTTAGCAGAACCAATCCGTAAAATTTTTACATTGTTTGTTGCAAAATGCAGCTCTGGTGTCTCCATCACTCAATTTTCTATCCCTCATTGCTCTTTCTTTGACTGCACTAGGATACCTCTAGGCAAATCTGTATTCCCGACACAGAGGGCCCTTTTGGTGAGCTATAAGCACACTCAATGATATGCTGGAATACTAGCTTTTACCTATGACGAAATGGAATCATATCAGTGATTTTTTTAAAAAGGAAATTTAACTCTTGCTATGGTTTGAATGCTTGCACCTTCCAATCTCATGTTAAAATTTGATCCCCAATGTTGCAAGTGGGGCTTACTGGGAGGTGTTTGTTCATGTGGTTGGACCTTCATGAATGGATAATACCCTCCCTGAGAAATCTAAAGCTATCCTCCCTCCTCGGTGCCCTCAGAAATGAGTGTACCATTCTTTATTCACCTATAATTCCAACACCCATCCTTTTTGAGATATTAATTACATGTATGTTACACTGCTGCATATTGTCTGACTTATCAGTGAGTTTCTGGCTTTCTTATTTTAGTTTACCCTTTGTCCTTTAGTTTGTATAGCTTCTATTTTGTTCTATAAATTTTCCGATGTTAGGGTAAAATCCATTACTTATTCTATCTCATGGAATTTTTATTTCAAATATTTATTTTTCATCTATACATGTCACATTTTTCATTTTATAACCTCTATTTTTCTCCTATGTTCAATTTTCATTTAAGTATCTTGACTTATATATGTATTTATCTATATGTATTTATAAAATATATTTACTTTAAGGACCTTGAAATTTCCTTCTTTTCTGTCATTTACAAATGACTTATTTTTATCCTGTTAATATATATCTTAATTATGTATATCTTACGGCTTCTTTGCATGTCAGAGTTTTTTTTTGGGGGGTATTTTGATGTTATGCTAATGAATATCCAGATTTTATTGGCTACCTTTGGACAATGTTGTGGCAGGCTGTTAAGTAACTTCAGGATGAGTATTTGTACGTTGTTGTTTTAAATCTTCTCTTTAAACTTTGTGGAGTTAGTCTAGAGTCATCTGTAATTTGGAGCTAAATGAGCACTGTCACCAGGGTATGAACCTCCAATGGTCTTTACTGAATATCCTGGAGGTACAGAGGGGATTCCCTTCTCTGATTAGAATTTGGAATATAAAGAGAAAAGAGAAAAATAGAAAGCTATGCATAAACACGTGCATTAAAATGAATTTTATGTGGGCTTTTTCATGAAAATGTTCCTAAGGTATTTTATTTTTTTATTGTGGTAAAATACACATAACATAAAATGTACTCTGTTAACCATTTTAAGTGTACAGTTCAGTGGTACTAAATATAGTCATAATATTGTGCAGCCGTCCCTACCATCCATCTCCATAATTGGTTTCACCTTGTAAAACTGAAACTCTAAACCCATTAAACAATACTTCCCCATTTCTTCCTCCCCCCAGCTTCTGGCAACCATCACTGTACCATCTCTATAATGCTAATCAAGCATAGTGGCTGTGTTTCTTGCTTCCTCTAGTCCGCAGGTAGCATACAAATGTAATAAACTACTTATTCATATCACATCTATTTATTTTCTGCCTTATACCAAGCTTGTGGGATTCTATTAAATGCAACATTTTTATACCTACACCTATGCAATACCCATTAGCATCACCTTCCTAAATCAGGGGAAATTGAGCCTGTGTAAGTTGGAGAAACTTCCTCAGATATAAAACTCAACATTGAAGTCTGTATACCTCAATATCCTGCTCTCTTCTCATTTGTCTTTACTGCCTTTTATGTATGTGTTAGATGTTCAACAAATTCTCTTTTTTAAACTGAATTTAAGCAGTGGAGCAGTGTTTTGTTGAACAATAAATATGATATAGGACACTCTTCCTCCCTTTCATTTATGATCCTGTTCATGAAAAGGAGAAATTCTCTCATTGTGCTAGAATCTTAAAATAATGAAAATGCCACTTTCTACATTAAACAGAAACTGCAGGGAATCAAGGTGAATTGCATGAGACATAGAAAACAAGTGGGAAAGAAATCTAGTATAATTTGCCCTTTGTGTACCTTTATTATTTAGCGTTTGAGTAAATGATTCCCCCAAATATCTTCCCCTCTTAATTCATGTCTCTAAAGTAGACATTTATGTCTCACCTTGTCAAGAAGGGCAAACTCTAACATAAATATTTCCCAAAAATGCTTCCCGCTTATACGTAAGCTCAGTCTGGCTAGAAATGCAGCTCACTTCATAAAGATTAATTGGTAGCTAACTTTGCATGCTGTTCTCTGAACTTGAGTGAAACCTCTCCATCAGGTATAGAGGGAATGACGGAAAAAGTGACAACAGAAGATGAATGCTATGTCACTAACCTTCAAAGATGACCTGCCTTTTCTTTCAAATTCTTGATATCTTAATACTTCATTAATTCATCTCTCTTTGCCCTTGGTTCAACATTGTGCTATGCCAAAACTCATGTAAAACAATGATCTAATGTAATAAAAATGGCATTTTTCTTTCATGTAGATGCAAGCTAACTGGCATTTTTACAATCCACATATTTCCTTTGTCAGTTTTTCATTCTGTATTGGAAGTAATTGATAGGTATTTTTGAAGGGATGAAGGTTATTCTGTGTTCATTGTGATCCAAACTATTTTTAGAACTGGGGCGTTTGTAAAACAATTTCTGCCAGCTGACCAAGGATCACTGTGGCAGAAAGCAGCAAACTTGCATAAGATGTCACTGCCTCATCAGTTGGCTTTGAAAATTAGGGACTTACTCTATAGTCTTATGAATCAAAGACATTGATAGATGTAGTATAAGATTACAATCATATTTTCCTTTTGACAGTCACATCATACAGCATGTTGTATTGCAATTAATCTCAATTAGCTGATCACAATTAAAACATAATGTTTATTATTGCTGATAAACAATCATGACTCTCCTGTTCTCAAATGTGCAAGTAATTCTTGTAATTTTAATACAAATTTGCATATTATTATTAATTGATTTAATCTCATTGGATTTGGTTCATGGATCCAATTTATTAAAATATTGAAAATGGGATAATGACTTGAATCCCCATTTCATGTACACTAAAACAACAATTCTTACAATGGTCTGCAAGCCCATCATGATCTGCCGCATGTTAATCGCCAAAATTCTTTTATATCTTCACCCTTGATCTTACCAGTGGTCCTGGCCACCTCACTGTCCTCTGGACATGCCAACAGGCTGCTGCCTTATGACCAAGTCTGTAGTTAATTTCTTGGCTTGGAAAGATAGCCCTCCATATATCCATTGATCAGCTCATTCAACTTCCTCAAGTCTTTACTGAAACTTCACATTCTCGATGAGGCCTATTCAGTATTTCAAACTGCCTCCCAGCTGCAACATTCCAAAACCCCTTACTCTTCTGTGTATTTCTGAAAGGATTTATTGAGATATAATTTACATAGTGTAGAGTGCACACATTAATGTCTACATGTCAATGGTTTTTAGTATATGCACAGATAAGTGGAGCCATCATCACAATGAATTTTAGAGCATTTTCATCACTTCAAAAAGAAACCCCACCTTCTCTAGCTGTTAACCTCCTATGCACCCATCCCCTACTCAATCCTAAGCAACCACAAATCTGTTTTCTGTCTCTATAGATTTTCCTATTCTGTTTTCATCTAAATAGAATCATACAATAGGTGACCTTTTCTGCCTGGCTTCTTTCAGTTGGCATAATGCTATCAAGGTTCATGTACGTATTGGTACTTTATTTCTTTTTATAACTGTACAACATTCAATTTCATGGATAAAACATTTTGTTTATACAATAATATTTTTATTGACATTTGAGTTGTGTTCAGCCTTTGGCTATTTTAAATACTGCTGCTAAAAATACTTGTGTACAATTTGTGTTTGAACACCTCTTTCCAATAATCTGGGTGTATACCTAGGAATAAATTTCTGGGTCATATGACAATTCTATGTTTAAGCCATCAAATTACTTTCCAAAGTGGCCAGTTCTCACCATAGAGTATCTAACTGTGGTTTTGATTTGTAGCTGCCTAATGAGTGATGCTATAGAGTATCTTTTTATGGGATTATTGACCGTTCTTGTATCTTCTTGGAAAACACATCTATTCCTATCATTTATCAGTTTTGAGTTGGGGTATTTGTTACTGAGTTAAAACAATTTTTCTATATTCAAGATACATATATATACAGACATATAGATACGTGTTTTTCAAATATCTTCTCACAATTTTGAGCTGCCTTTTGACTTGCTTGGTTGTCCTTTGAAACACCAATGTCTTTAATTTTTAAGAAATTTTAAATATCTAATTTTTATTTTGTTGCTCATGTTTTTGGGGTTACAGCTATTTCTTTTCTAGATCCAAAATCCTGAAGATTTTCCCATATGGTTTATTCTAGCTCTCGCATGTGTGTCCTTAATTCATTTGAGTTAATATTTTTGTATGCTTTGGGGTAAGGGTTCGAATTTATTATTTTGCAAGTGGTGATCCAAGTGTACGTTGTTGACCCAGTTTGTTCAAAGACTGTCTCTTCATCATTGAATTGCACATGGCACCCCTGTAAGAATCCATTGACTATAGACACATAGTTTTATATATGGACTGTCAATTTTCTTCCATCAGTCTATGTATTTTTCCTTCATCAGTATTTTGTTGTCTTGATTACTGATACTCTGCAGTAAGGTTTGGAGCATGGGGGTGTGAATTATCTTAATATGTTTCCTTTTTTCAAGATTATTTTGGCTGTTTTGTGTCCCTTACAATTCCATGTGTATTTTAGAATCGGCTTGTCAGTTTCTAGACAGAAGTCTGTTGGGATACTTGCAGGGATTTCATCAAATCTGTAGTTCAAATTGTAAAGTACTACAATATTAAATCTTCTAATTCATGGGTGTAAGGTGTTTGCTAATTATTTAGATATTCTTTAAACAATAATTTTTAATTTTCAGAGTGAACTCTTTTATCACGTTTTCCAAATTAATTATTATTTCTTTTTTGATGCTATTTTAAATTGAAGTGTTTTCTTAATTTCATTTTGGGGTTTTCATTGTAGATGTGTGCAATTGATTTTTGTACCTTTATCTTGTATGCTGTAATATTGCTGAAATAATTTACTAGTTCTATCGTTCAGTGGATTCCTTAAAATTTTCTATATACAGGAATGTTATTTTCAAATAAAGTTTTATTTCTTCCTGTTCAATATGGGTGACTCTTATTTTTTTGGTTGCCGATTTGCCCTGCATGAAATCTTTAGTACAGTGTTGACTAGAAGAGGTCAAAGTAAATATCTTATTCTTATCTTTGACCATAGCTGGAAAGCATCCTTTACCATTAAGTTGCATGCTTGCTGCTGGTTTTCCACAGGTGCCATGTATCTGGTGTAGAAAGTTATTCCTGGTTCACTGAGTTTTTATTTTTATTTTTAATCATTAAACAATTTGGATTTTGTTAAATGTCTTTTCCGAATCTATCGAGATGATCATGCAATTCTCGTTTCTTATTCTATGGATAAGATGTATTACCTTAATGGATTTTGGGCTGTTAAACCAACCTGGGATTACTTGTATAAATTTCACTTTGCCATAGTGTATAATTCTTTATATGTTGCTAGATCTGATTTGTTAGTATTTTTTAAGGAATTTTGCATTTATACTTATAGTAGTTTTATTTTTCTATGCTATTTGGACTAATTTTTATATCAAGGTAACACTGGCCGCACAGAATAAATTGGGAAGTGAATATTTCTCTCTTTTAAAAAAGCTAGTCAAGAATTAGTATCAATTATTCAACACTAATAAATATTATATTATAAATTATTAATATCTCTAATTTTTACTTTCTTCCTCTGCTTGCTTTAGGTTTAGTTTGTCATTCTTTCCAGTGCCTTAATGATGAAGGTCATCTTATCTCATCCTTTCCTTTGTCTTTTGATTTTCTAAATAGTGTCTTTTAGCATCAGGTGAGCTCCCCAGGTTGGTAGTACTCCATGTTTATTGCTGTACAACAGTGACAGGTAATATGTCCTGAAGACAATGGAAACTTAACATTCAAAATCTCCTAGATTCCACCTTATATGATATGTCTCTTCAATTGGTCCTAATTTCTACCCTTTCTGTATTATAAACCATGAGTACAATGGCATTCTATGAGTTCTGTGAGTCTTTCTGGTAAATTCTTGAAACTGAGGGTGTTCAGGGGAAACCCCTGAACTGGCAGTTGGTGTCAGAAGTGAGAATCGTCTTATATGGCCTCTTCCTTTGAACTTTGCAGCTGGACGCAAACTCTGCACAATTTGGGCCAGAAGTCTCGTGTTGACTTTGCAGCCTAAAGCATCTTGTAGTTTGTCTAACCCTCAATAAATTTGCTTTCATCAAATATTGTATTTGTTACCCCAAAATTACCATCACGTTTTTTTTCTCCAAATAACTAACATTGGGAGAAATAGCCAGCTGAGTCTGTAACTCAACAGAAACAAGTGATCCATATACCATATACCATATAAGTGGCCATTTCATTTTGCCTTCTTCCACCAAATCTTAGCAACCTCAACCATTGCCATGAGCCACTGTAGGCCTTCAAGCTACAAACAAACAAGTATCTTTTAAAAATACTTCATACTCCCATTTGATACATTTACCAGCAAAGAGATGCCTACTTTAACTCTATGCAAGTGGCTCATATTCACGAAGTCTGTAGATATTACTCATGTAGTGTGAGAAAATCATCCCAGTGATGCCAGCACATTCTCCTTCCCATGATCTGCTTAGTTTGCAAACATATTCAGGTCATGGGTGAGAGATTTGTATTTCACAGTACAACAGTTTTATGGAGGGCATTGAAACTTACCTTGAACATTTTAGTACAGTCACACATCACTGAATGATAGGGATACGTTCTAACAGATGTATCCATAGGCAATTTCATCATTTTGCAAACATCACAGAGAATATTACAAACACCTAGATTGTACAGCCTACCACGTCTAGGTTATATGGTATAGCCTCTCTCTCCCAGGCTATGAACCTGTGTACTACATTACTGTACTGAATACTGCAGGCAATAAGAACACAGTGGTAAGAGGTTATGTATCTAAACATACTTAAACGTAAAAAAGTATGTAAAAATATGTATTATAATATCATGGGACCACTTTTGTATATGTAATCTGTCTTTGACCAAAATGTTATTATGCATGACATGACTCTATGACAAAAATAAAATAACACATTGTAAAAAAGTACACAGGTATCAAACATATTAATATTGTAAAATAAAAATATTTATTTAGTGTAAGAATTTGTAATGATCACAAAATATTCACAGCTTATATTTTAGTACAGTTTCAAATGCCTAGTGTAATTACTATTTATTTCTGTGTGTATTTTAAACATGTATATAATAAATATTTTTCAGGTTCAACAATATATATCAATCCAACTGGCTCTTATAAATATTAGTTAAAATCAATTAGCAAATATATATATATATATACACACGTGTATCAGTCTGTATGCATGTATGTGTGTGTAAATGTAACTGTATGTGTGTGTAAATGTAACTGGATGCATCCTAATATTTACCCTTACCTACAAGATTTCCAAGATTCATTTATTATCTTTAGATGATGTGCATTTAAAAATTTACCAAATAAAACTGTAATCGTGGAAAATATCATGATGTTATTAAATTCATCTTGTGCACATAATTGTTTCTTTAAATTTTGTTTCTTGCAAAACTTGCGGTAATGCTCATGCACAAAATAATTTTCCAAATAAAAAATAAAAACATTTTCTCAGTCATTAATTCTTAAAATTATTTCTCCCCAATAATTAATGTGAATTAATTTTTAATTCTTAATTAAAGAATAATGTTGCCCTTCAGAGTTCTGAATCTTTTGCATGTTGTATACATTTCACTAACTAGGACAACTTCTGGAATATTGGCATTAATTAATGTCACTCAGCAATTAATGATTTCAAAGAAATTAAATACCATTCATATTCTGAATCACAAGGGTACATTGGCATCTAATTTAATCAAGCTCTTTGTATCATCATATACACTTTAATTACTGAACAAATATTTCTCTGTGTGAGAAAGATTGAGCAGGTTATTGTGCTTTTTTAAGATGCAACTTTTGCTTAATCTAGAGATAGGCAATGCTCCCTATAAAGGACAAAGAGAAAAACGAAAGAGCAATAGAGATGTGACAGGCATGGAAAAAGACAATACATTTATAAAACAAATAGGGCCACAGATGTTGATAATGGGGATCAAATCTTGAGATACTGACTCAGTTTATAACCGCACTGTACAATACAGCAAATCATTTGTTACTTTTTTTACAAATGGAATTTAATTTAATTAAGATGAATACAGTGTTTTAAACAAGACAGGTCATCTTAAAATAAAGTAGTGGAATAAAGTGTTAAAACCAATGTTAAAGTCATAAACATTTTATAAAGAATTTTTGTCATGTAATTTAATATTTTTCTTTATTTAAAATCACCCAAATCAAAATAATTTTATCTTAATTAACAAATATTCATCAGAAGTTAACTAATTATTACTTTATAATACTAGGTTTAAAAGTTCTTAACTATATTTTTAATCATATATGCTTATACATAAAATAGACATAGGGTATATGTTTACATGTTCCCAATATTATATTGTAATTGTTCCTATGGAATGGAATGGAATCATTGAATGGAATTGAATGTAATCACCAATGAAAATAATCGAATGGAATCATAGTCAAATGGAATCAAGTGCAATCATCGAATGGAATCTAACGGAATCATTGTCAAATGGAGTGCAATGGAATCATTGAATGGAATTGAATGGAATCACCAATGAATGGAATTGAAGGGAATCCTGAATGGAAACATCAACGAATGGAATCAAAAGGAATCATCATCAAATGGAATTGAATAGAATCATCATATAATGGAATTGAATGGAATCGTGGAATGGAATATAATGGAATCATCATCGAATGGAATTAAATAGAATCATCAGATAAAATTGAATGGAATAATCATCTAATGGAATCGAATTGAATCATCATTGAATGGAATTGAATGGAATCATCATTGAATGGAATTAAATAGAATCACTGAAAGAGATTGAATGGAATCATCATCGAATGGAAACGAATGGAATCATCATCTAATGGAATCGAATGGAATCATCATCAAATGAAACCGAATGGAATCATCGAATGCAACAGAATGGAATCACTGAATCGATTCAAATGGAATCATCATCGAATGGAATTGAATGGAATCATTGAAGGCACTTGAAAGGAATCATCGAATGGACTCGAAAGGAATCATCATCAAGTGGAATCAAATGGAATCATCGAACAGACTCGAAAGGAATCTTTGAATGGACTCGAATGGAATCATTATAGAATGGAACCTAAGGGAATCATTGAATGGACTCGAATGAAGTCCTCATCGATTGTAATCACAGGGAATCACTGAATGGACTCAAATGGAAACGTCAAATGGCCTCAAATTGAATCATCATTAAATGGAATCAAATGGAATTATCGAATGGACTCGAATAGAATCATCAACTGGAATCGCAAGCAATCATCGTTGAGTGGAATCGAATGAAAACATCGAAAGGACTTGAATGCAATCTTCGAATGGCCTCGAATGAAATCATCATCGAACAGAATCGAATGGAATCATCACATGAACTCGAATGGAATCATCATCGAATGGAATAGAATGGAATCATCATCAAATGGATTTGAAAGGAATCATCTAATGAACACGAATGGAATCATTATCGGACTGAGTAGAATGCAATCATCATCAAATGGAATCGAATGGAGTCTTCCAATGGACATGAATAGAATCATCATCGAATGGAATCGAATGGAATTATCTAATGTACTCGAATGGAATCATCATCCAATGGAATAGAATGGAATCATCGAATTGATTCAAATGGAGTCATCTTCATATGGAATGAAGTGGAATCATCAAATGGACTTGAAAGTAATCATCATAGAAAATAATCGAATGGAATCATGGAATGAACTCGAATGGAATCCTCATGGCGTGGAATCAAATGGAATCATCCAATGGACCCGAATGGAATCATCATCAAATGGAATCGAATGGAATCATTGAATGCACTCGAGTGGAATCATCATCGAATATAAACGAAAGCAATCATCAAATGGATTTGAATAGAATCATCGAATGGCTCGAATGGAATCATCATCGAATGGAATCAAATGGAATCATCGAATTGACTCGAATGGAATTGTCATCGAATGGAATCGAATGTAATCATCGAATGGACTGGAATGGAATCATCATAGAATGGAATCGAATGGAATCACTGAACGGACTCGCATGGAATCATCATCGAATGGAATCAAAGGGAATCATTGAATGCACGCGAATGGAATCATCATCGAATGGAATCGAATGGAATCATCGAATGGACTCTGAAGGAATCATCATCGAATGAAATTGAGTGGAATCACCAAATGGACACAAATGGAATCATCATCGAATGGACTCTAATGGAATCATCATCGAATGGAATTGAAAGTAATCATCCATTGGATTCAAATGGAATTATCGAATGGACTCGAATGGAATCATCGAATGGACTCGAATGGAATCATCATCGAATGGACTCTAACTCAATGATCGAATGGATTCTAATGGAATACTTGAATGGAAACAAATGGAATCATCGATTGGACTCCAATGGAATTATCGAATGGGCTCAAATGGATCATCGAATGGACTCGAATGGAATCATTATCTAGTGGAATCAAATGGAACCATCTAATGGAATTGATCGGAATCATCATCGATTGGAATCAAATTGAATCATCGCATGGAATCGAATGCAAATATCATCAAATGGAATCAAATGGAGTCATCATCGAATAGAATTAAATGGAATCATCGAATGGAATCAAATGGAATCATTGTCAAATGAAATGGAATGGAATCATTTAATGGAATTGAATGGAATAGCCAGTGAATGAAATCGAATGAAATCATCATCGAGTGGAATTGAATGGAAAAATCATAGTTTGGAATCAAATGGAATAATCTTCGAATAGAATAAAAAGGAATCATCCAAAGGAATATAAATGAATAATCATCGAATGGAATCAAATAGAATCATCGAATGAAATTGAATGGAATAATAATCAAATGGAATCAAATGGAATCATCATCAAATGGAACCGAATGGTATCACTGACTTAAATGGAATGGAATGGTCATGGAATGGAATCGAAAGGAATCATTGAATGGCATGAAATGGAATCATTGAAGGGAATCAAATGGAATCATCGAATGGATTCTGATGGAATAATCATCGAATGGAATTGAATGGAATCATGGAAAGGACCCGAATGAAATCATCATTAAGTGGAATCCAATGGAATCATCGAATGAACACGAATTGAATCATGATTTAATGGAATCGAATGCAATCATCGAATGGCATCAAATGGAATCATCATCGAATGGAATCTAATGGAATCAATGAATGGACAATAATGGAATAATCGGATGGGCTTGAGTGGAATCATCATCGAATGGAATTGAATGGAATCATTGAATGGACTTTAATGGAATCATCATTAAATCGAATCAAATGGAATCATCATTGAATGGAATCGAATGGAGTCATGATCAAATGGAATCACCAAATGGAATCGAATGGAATGATCATCAAAGGGAATTGAAGGGAATCATCAAATGAGAATGAAGGGAGTCATCAAATGGAATCGAGTGGAATCATCGAATGGATTCGAATGGAATCATCATCGAATGGAATCAAATGGAAACATCAAATGGACTCCAATGTAATCATCATAAAATGGGAAAGAATGGAATCATCAAATGGACATGAATGGAATCATCATGGAATGGAAGCGAATGGAATCATCAAATGGCATAGAATGCAATCATCATCATATGGAATCAAATGGAAAAATCGAATGTACTCAAATGGAATCATCGAACGGACATGAGCGGCATCATCATCAAATGGAATCGAATAGAATTATCAAATGGACTCGAATGGAATCCTCATCGAATGGAATCGAATGTAATCATTGAACGGAGTTGGATGGAATCAACATGGAATTTAATCGAATGGAGTCATCGAATGGAGTCGAATGGAATAATCATCGAATGTAATCATTGAATGGAGTTGAATGGAATCAACATGGAATGGAATTGAATGGAGTCATCGAAAGGAGTCGAATGGAATCATTGAATAGCATAGAGTGGAATCATCATAGAATGAAGTCAAAAGGAATCATCAACTGGACACGAATGGAATCATCCTCACACGGAATCGAATGGAATCTTTGAGTGGACTCGAATGGAATCATCATCAAATGCAATCAAATGGAATCATCATCTAATGGAATCTAATAGAATCATCAAAGAATGGAATCACATGGAATCGTCAAATGGAATATAATTGAATAATCGTTGAAAGGAATCAAATAGAATCATCAAATGAAGTCGAATGGAATCATAATCAAATGGAATCAAATTGAATCATCATCAAATGCAATTGAAAGGAATCATCATTGAATGGAATCGAATGGAATCATCAAAGAATGTAATTCAAAGGAATCATCATAGAATGGAACCAAATAGAACCATCAAATGGAATCCAATGGAATCATCAAATGGACTCGAATGGAATCATCATCGAATGGAATCGAATGGAATCATCGAACGGAATTGAATGGAATCATCATTGAATAAAATTAAATGGAATCATCGAATGGACTCGAAAGAAATCATCAAGTGGAACCGAATGAAATCATGGAATGGAAACGAATGGAATCATCATCGAATGGAATTGAATGGAATCATCTAACGGAATGGAATGGAATCATCATCGATAGGGATCAAATAGAATCATTGAATGAAATTGAATGGAATATCATTTAATGGAATCGAATGGAATCATCACCAAATGGAATCGAATGGAATCATCATCAAACAGAATCGAATGGAATCTTCAACAAATGGAATCACATGGAAACATCGAATGGCATCTAATAGAATCATCATTCCATGGAAATGAATGGAATCATCACGGAATGGAATCAAAATGAATCATCATCGAATGGAATCCAATGGGATCACTGAATTGAATGGAATGATCATCCAATGGAATCGAAGGGAATCATTGAATGGAATCAAATGGAATCCTCGAAAGGAATTGAAAGGAATCATTGAATAGATTCGAATGGAATCATCATGGAATGGAATCGAATGGAATCATCAAATGGATTCAAATGGAATCATCATCGAATGGAATCGAATGGAATCATCGAATGGACACGAATCGAATCATTATTGAATGGCATCAAATGGTATCATCGAATGGACTTGAATGGAATCATCATCGAATGGAATCTAAAGGAATCATCGAATGGAATCACATGAAATCATCATCGAATGCATTGGGATGGAATCATCAAATTGACGCAAATGGAATCATCATTGAATGGAATCAAATGGAATCTTTGAATGGACTCGATTGAAGTCATCATTGAATGCAAACAAATGGAATCTTCATCAAATGGAATCGAATGGAATCATCATCGAATGAAATCGAATAGAATCATCCAATGGAGTAGATTTGAATCACCATCAAATGGAATCGAATAGAATCATCAAATGAAATCTAATGGAATCATCATTGAAAGGAATCAAATGCAATCATCATCGAATGGAATTGAATGGAATCATCATCGAAAGGAACCGAATAAAAACATCATCAAATGGAATCAAGTGAAATCATCATCGAATGGAATCGAACGGTATCATCCAATGTAATATAATTGAAAAATCATCTAATGAAATCAAATAGAATCTTCGAATGAAATCAAATGGAACCAACGTAGAATGGAATTGAATGGAATCATCATCGAATGGAATGGAATGGAATCACCGAATGGAATGCAATGTAATCATCATTCAACTGAACCCAATGGAATCATTAAATGGACTCGAATAGAATCATCGAATGGACTCAAATGGAATAATCATCGAATGGAATAGAATGGAATCATCAAATGCAGTCGAATGGAATCATCATCGAGTGTACTCGGTTGGAATCATCATTGAATGGAATCGAATGGAATCATCGAATGCAATCGAATGGAATCATCATCGAATGTACTCGAATGGAAACATCATCAAACAGAATAGAATGGAATCATTGAATGGACTCAAATGGAATCAGCATCGAATGGAATTGAAAGGAATCATCAAGGGGACTTCAATGGAATCATTCAATGGACTCGAATGGAATCATCATCGAATGGAATCATCGAATGGTCACGAAAGGAAGAATCATCGAACGGAATCGAATGGAATCATGGAATGGAATCGAATGGAATCATCATTGAATTGAATCTAATGGAATCATCATCGTATGGAATCAAATGGAATCATCAACGAATGGAATTGAATGGAGAAATTGAATGGAACCTGTTGGAAACATCAACGAATGCAACCGAAATCAGTCGTCAGGAAATGGAATCAAATGGTATCATCATTGAATGGAATCAAATCCAATCATCATTGAATGGAATTGAAACGAATCATCATGGAATAGAATCGAATGGAATCATCAAATGGAATGGAATGGAATCATCATCGAAAGGATTCGAAGGGAATCATCGAATGGAATCAAATGGAATCATCAAATGGAATTGAATGGAATCATCATCGAATCGACTCGAATGGCATTATCGTCAAATGGAATGCAATGGAATCATCCAATGGACTCGAATGGAATAATCGAATGCATTCCAATGGAATCATCAAATGGAATTGAATGGAATCATCGAATGGATTCTAATGGAATCATCATCAAATGGAAATGGATGGAATCAACAAAGGGCCCCAAATGGAATGATCAAATGGACTCGAATGGAATCATCGTCGAATGGAATCAAATGGAATCATCGAATGGACTTAAATGAATCATCATCAAATGGAATCGAATGGGATCATCATCAAATGGAACTGAATGGGGTCATGATCAAAAGGAATCCAATGGAATCACCGAATGGTCTCGAATGTAATGATCAAATGGACTCGAATGGAATCATATAATGGAATCGAATGGAATTATCGAATGGACTCGAATGGAGTCATTGATGTAGTCTAATGGAATCATCATCAAATGGAATCGAATGGAATCATCAAATGGACTCAAATGGAATCATAGAATGGACTCGAATGAAATCAATGAATGGACATGAATGGAATCATCATCAAATGGAATCGAATGGAATCCT
The DNA here is from genome assembly GCF_000001405.40 of Homo sapiens. Lineage (NCBI taxonomy): Eukaryota > Metazoa > Chordata > Mammalia > Primates > Hominidae > Homo > Homo sapiens. The sequence continues at coordinate 36,195,240 of NC_000016.10, read as the reverse complement.
TGAATAGAATCAAATGGAATCATCAAATAGAATTGAAGGGAATCATCATCAAATGAAAATGAATGGAATCATTGAATGGAATCGAAGGTAATCGTCATCAAATGGAATCAAATGGAATCATTGAATGGAATTGAATGGAATCACCAATGAGTGGAATCAAATGGAATCATCATGGAATGGAATCGAATGGAATCATCGAATGGACTCGAATGGAATCATCATCGAATGGAATCGTGTGGAATCATCTAATGGGCACAAATAGAATCATCATCAAATGTAATCAAATGGAATCATCTAATGTACTCGAATGGAATCATCATTGAATTGAATTGAATTGAATCGTCATCTTATGGAATCGAATGGAATCATCCTTTAATCGAATCGAATGGAATCGTCAACGAATGGAATCAAATGGAGAAATTGAATGGAACCCGTTGGACACACCAATAAATGCAACCGAATGCAGTAGTCAGCAAATGGAATCGAACGATATCATCATTCAATGGAATCGAATCCAATCATCATCGAATGGAGTAGAAACGAATCATCATGGAATAGAATCGAATGGAATCATCGAATGGAATCGAATGGAATCATCATCGAATGGACTCGAATGGAATTATCATCAAATGGAATGGAATTGAATCATCCAATGGACTCGAATGGAACAATCGAATGCATTCCACTGGAATCTTCAAATGGAATCAAATGGAATCATTGAATGGAATCGAATGGAATCATCATCAAATGGAATCAGATGGAATTAACGTAGAGTCTCAAATGGAATCATCAAATGGACACGAATGGAATCATCGTCGAATGAAATCAAATGGAATCATCGAATAGACTTAAATGAATCATCATTGAATGCATTCGAATGGAATCTTCATCAAATGGAATTAAATGGGGTCATGATCAAAAAGAATCCAATGGAATCACCGAATGGTCTCGAATATAATGATCAAATGGACTCGAATGGAATCATAAGAAGGAATCGAATGGAATCATCGAATGGACTCAAATGGAATTATCGAATGGACTTGAATGGAGTCATCGAATGGACTCTAATGGATCAAATGGAATTAAATGGAATCATCAAATGCACTCGAATGGAATCATAGAATGTACTCGAATGAAATCAACGAATGGACACGAATGGAATCATTATTGAATGGAATCGAATGGAATCCTTGAATAGAATCAAATGGAATCATCAAATGGAATCGAACGGAACCATCATCGAATGGAATAGAATGGAATCATCGAATGGAATCGAAGGCAAACATCATTGAATGGAATCAAATGGAATCATTGAATGGAATCGAATGGAATCACCAATGAGTGGAATTGAAGGGAATTATCACGGAATGGAATCTAATGGAATAATCGAATGAACACGAATGGAATCATAATCGAATGGAATCGCGTGGAATCATCTAATGGGCACGAACAGAATCATCATCGAATGGAATCGAATGCAATCATCTAATGTACTCGAATGGAATTATCATTGAATGGTATTGAATGGAATTGAATGGAATCATTGAATGGACTCGAATGGAATCATCATCATATGGAATACAGTGGAATCATCGAATGGACTCAAATATAATCATCAGAGTATGAAATCAAATGGAATTATCAAAAGGACTAGAATGGAATCATCATCGAATATAATCAAAAGCAATCATGAAATCGATTCGGACAAAATCATCGAATGGACCCAAATGAAATCATCATCGAATGGAATCATCATCAAATGGAATCAAATGGAATCATCGAATGCATTCGAATGAAATCATCATCGAATGGAATCATCGAATGGAATCGAATGGAATCATCATCGAATGGAATCGAATGGAATCATCATCGAATGGAATCGAATGGAATCATCATCGAATGGAATCGAATGGAATCATCATCGAATGGAATCAAATGGAATCACTGAATGGACTCGAATGGAATCATCATCAAATGGAATCGAATGGAATCATCTAATGGATTCAAAAGGAACCATGATCAAATGAAATCGAATGGAATCACTGAATGGACATGAATGAAATCATCATCAAATAAAATCGAATGTAATCATCAATTGGACTCGAATTGAATATCATCGAATGGAATCAACAGCAATCATCGAAGGGACTCAAAAGGAATTATCAAATGGACTTGAATGGAATCATCGAATGGACTCGAATGGAATCATAATCAAATGGACTCAAATGCAATGATCGAATGGACTCGAATGGAATCATCGATTGGACTCAAATGGAATTATCGAATGGGCTCGAAAGGAATCATCGAATGGACTCGAATGGAATCATTATTGAATGGAATCAAATGGAATCATCGAATGGAATTGAATGGAATCAACGAATGGAATCGATCAGAATCATCATCGAATGGAATCAAATAGAATCATCGAATGGAATTGAACGCAGTCATCATCCAAGTGAATTGAATGGAATCATCATTGAATAGGATCGAATGGAATCATCAAATTGAATTGAATGGAATCATCTTCGAATGTAATAGAATGGAATGATCAAATGGAATCAACTGGAATCATCGAATGGAATTGAAAGGAATCAGCATTGAACGAAATTTAATGGGATCATCATCAAATAGAATCGAATGGAGTCATTGAATGGAATCATCATCAAATGGAGTCTAATGGAATCATCAAATGGACTCGAATGGAATCATCAAATGGACTCGGATGGTATCATCAACTGGACACGAATCCAATCATCAACGAATGGAAACAAATGAAATCATCATCGGATGGATTGGATTGGAATCATCATTGAATGGAATCGAATGGAATCATCGAATGGAATCAGATGGAGTCATCATTGAATGGAATCTAATAGAAGCTTTGAATGAAATCGAATGGAATCATCTACGAATGGACTCGAATGGAATCATCTTCAAATGGAATCGAATGGAATCATCATCGAATGGAATCAAATGGAAACATCATCGAATTGAATCAAAGAGAATCATCATGGAATTGAATCGAATGGCTTATTGTCGAATCAAATTGAATGGAATCATCATCATATAGAATTGAATGGAATCATTGAATGGAATCGAATGGAATCATCATCGAATGGAATCGAATGAAATCATCAACGAATGGCATCCAATGTAATCATCATAGAATTGAAATCAATTGGTTCATTAAATGAACTCGAATGGAATCATCGAATGGACTGGAATGGAATCATCATCGAATGAAATAGAATGCAATCACTGAATGGAATTGAATGGAATCATCATCGAATGAAGTAGAATGCAATCATCAAATGGAATTGAATGGAGTCTTCATCGAATGAAATCAATGGCAATGATCGAATGGACCCGAATGGAATCATCATCAAATGGAATTGAATGGAATCATCATATGGACTCGAATGGAATCATCATCAAATGGAATCAAAAGGAAACATCGAATGGACTTGAATGGAATCATTGAATGGACTCGAATGGAATCATCATGGAATGGAATCGAATGGAATAATTGAATGGACACGAATGGAATCATCATCAAATGGAATCAAATGGAATCTTCGAATGAAATTGAATGGAATCATCATCGATTGAAATCGAATGGAATCATCACCGAATGGAGTCGAATGGAATCATCATTGAATGGAATCGATAGGAAACATCATCGAAGGGAATTGAATGGAAATATCATCTAATGGAATCGATAGGAATCATCAACAAATTCAATTAAATGGAGAAATCAAATGGGATTCGTTGAAATCATCAACGAATTGAAGCAAATGCAGTCATGATCAACTGGAATTGAATGGAATCATCATCGAATGGAATCAAAAGGAATAATCATCAAATCAAATAGAATGGTATCATCGAATGGAATAGAATGGAATCATCATTGAAAGAAATCGAAGGGAATCATCAAATGGAATCGAACAGAATCATCTAATGGAATCAAATGGAATAATCATCGAATGGAATTGAATGGAGTCATCGAATAGACTCCAATGGAATAATCAAGTGGACTCGAATGGAATCATCAAATGGAATCGAATGGAATAATCGATTGGACTCGAACAGAATCATCATCAAATGGTATCAGATGGAATCAATGAAGGGACTCGATTGGAATCATCGAATGGACACGAATGGAATCATCATCGAATGGACACGAATGGAATCATCGAATGGAATCGAAAGGAATCATCATGGAATGGAATCTAATGGAATCATGATTGAATGGGATCGAATGGAATCATCATCGAATGGAATTGAATATAATCATCATTGAATGGAATCGAATGGAATCATCAATGAATGGAGTCGAATGGAGTCATCGAATGGAGTCTTTGGAATCATCATCGAATGGAACTGAATGCAGTCAGCATCGAATGGAATCAAATGGTATCATCAAATGGACTCGATTGGATCATAATTGCATGGAATCAAATGGAATCATCTAATCGACTCGAATGGAGTTATCTTTCAGAGGAATCGAATGGAATCATGGAATGCGCTCGAATGGAATCATCATCGAATGGAATCGAAAGGAATCATCAAATGGACTTGAATGGAATCATTGAATGTACTCGAATGAAATCATCATCGAATGGAATCGAATGGAATCATCGAATGGACCCTAATGGAATCACCATTGAATGGAATCGAATGGAATCATCAAATGGAATCGAATGGAATCATCATTGAATGGAATTGAATGGAATCTTTGAATGGAATCGAATGGAATCATCATCGAATGGATTCTAATGGAATCATCATTTAATGGAAACGAATGGAATCATCAACGAATGAAATCAAATGGAGAAATCGAATGGAATCCATTGGAATCATCATCAGATGGAACCGAATGCAGTCATCATCGAATAGAATCGAATGGAGTCATCAAATGGATTATAATGGAATCATCATCAAATGGAATTGAATGGAATCATCGAATGGACTCGAGTGGAATGACCATCAAATGGAATCGAATGGAATCATCGAATGGACACAAGTGGAATCATCGTTGAATGAAATCGAATGGAATCATCGAATGGCATCCAGCAGAATCATGATTAAATGGAATCTAATGGCATCATTGAATGGACTCGAATGGAATCATCGAGTGGGCTTGAGTGGAATCATCATGGAATGGAATCGAATGTATACATCGAATGGACTCGAATGGAATCATAATCGAATGGAATCGAATGTATACATTGAATGGACTCGAATGGAATCATAATCGAATGGAATTGAATTAAATCACAATCACATGGAATCGAATGGAGTCATCATCAAATGGATTCGAATGGAATCATAATTTAATAGAATCGAATGGAATCACCGAATTGAAACAAATGGAATGATCATCGAATGGAATAGAAGGGATTCATCGAATGCAATTGAACAGAGTCATCGAATGGAGCCGTGTGGAATCATTTAATGGATACGAATGGAATCAACATTGAATGGAATCGAATGGAATCATCAAATGGAATCAAATGTAATCTTCATCGGATGGAAGCGAATGGAATCATCACTGAATGGACTCAAATGAAATCATCGAATGGAGTCAGATGGAATCATCATCGATTGGAATCGAATAGAAGCATCAAATGAAATGGAATGGAATCATCAATGAACGGACTCGTATGGACTCATCATCACATGGACTTGAATGGAATCAATGGAATCATCATCAAATGGAATTGAATGGAAACATCATGGAATTGAATCAAATGGAATCATCATGGAATTGATTCGAATGCCTGATCATCGAATGGAATTGAATGGAAACGTCATCGAATGGAATCAAATGGAATCATCAAATATAATCGAATGGAATCATCATCGAATGGAATCGAATGTATCCAATGAAAGAAATCGAATGGAATAGTCATCGAATGGAGTTGAATGGAATTATCGAATGGACTTGAATTGAATCATCAAATGGAATCTAGGGGAATCATCATCGAATGGAATCAAATGGAATCATCAAATGGACTCGAATGGCATCATTGAATTGACTGGAATGAAATCATCGAATGGACTCTAATGGAATCCTCATTGAATGGAATCGGATGGAATCCTTGGATAGAATCAAATGGAAACATCAAATGGAATCGAACGGAATCATCATTGAATGGAATCTAATGGAATCTTTGAATGGAATCGAAAGCAATCATCATCGAATGGAATCAGATGGAATCATCGAATGGAATGAAATGGAATCATCATCAAGTGGAATCAAGTGGAATCATAGAATGGAATCAAATGGAATCATTGTCTAATCGAATGGAATGGAATCAATGAATCGAAATGAATGGAATCACCAATGAATGGAATGGAATGCAATCATCATCTAATGGAATCAAATGGAATTGTCGAATGAACTGGAATGGACTCATCATCGACTTGAATCATGTGAAATCATCTAATGGGCACGAATTGAATCAACATCAAATGGAATCGAATGGAATCATCTAATGTACTCTCATGAAATCAACATTGAATGGAATAGAATGCAATCATGGAATGGAATCAAAAGAATCATCATCATATGGAATTGCATGGAATCATTGAATGGACTCGAATGTATTCATTAGAGAATGGAATCAAATGGAATCATCCAATGGACTCGAATGGAATCATCATCGAATGGAATCAAATGGAATCATCGAATGGAGTCGAATGGAATCATCATCAAATATAAACAAAAGCCATCATCAAGTGGATTCGAATAGAATCTTTGAATGGACTCGAATGGAATCATCATTGAATGGAATCTAATGGTATCATCGAATGAACTCGAAGGGAATCCTCAACAAGTGGTATCGAATGGTATCATCGAATGGAATCAAATAGAATCATCTTCAATTGGCATCGAAAGGAATCACCAAATGGACTTGAATGGAATAATCATTGAAAGGAATCAGATGGAATTATCAAATCAAATCGAATGGAATAATCATCGAATGGAATTGAATGGAATCATTGAATGGACTCGAAAAGAATCATCATCGTATTGAATTGAATGGAATCATTGAATTGAATAAAAAGGAATCATCATCGAATGGAATCAAATGGAATCATCATGGAATGGAATCAAAAAGAATCATCACAAAATGGAGTACAATGGAATCATCATCGAATGGAATCAAATTGAATCTCGAATGCCCTGGAATGGAATCATCATCAAATGGAATCAAATGGAAACATCAAATGGACTCGTATGGAATCTTCATCGAATGGAATCAAATGGACTCATCGAATGGACTTCAATGGAATCATTGAATGGACTCAAATGGAATCTTCGAATGGACTCGATTGGAATCATCATTGAATGGTATCGAATAGAATAATTGAATTTACTCGAATGGAATAATCATCAAATGGAATCACATGGAATCATCATTGGATTTAAAGGAATGGAATCATCATCGAATGGAATGGAATGATTCATCGAATGGAATCAGATGGAATCATCATTGAATGGAATCGAATAGAATCTTCGAATGAAATCGAATGGAATCATCATCAAATGGACTCGAATGGAACCATCATTGAATGGACTCAAATGGAATCATCATCCAATGGAATCAAATGGAATCAACATCTAATGGAATTGAATGGAAACATTGAATGGAATCGAATGAAATCATCACCGAATGGAATCGAATGGAATCATCGAATGGACCCTAATGGAATCATTATCGAATGGAATCAGATGGAATCATCAAATGGACTTGAATGGAGTCATCAAATGGACTCAAATGGAATCATTATTGAATGGAATCGAATGGAATCATTGGAAGGTCTCGAATGGAATCATAATTGAACGGAATTAAATGGAATCATTGAATGGAATTGAATGGAATCATCATCAAAAGGAATCAAATAGAATCAGCATCAAATAGAATCGAATGCAATCATCATCAAATGGAATCAAATGGAATTTTCATCAAATGGGATCGAATGGAATCATCATGGATTATAATCAGATGGGATCATCTAATGAAAGAGGAAGGAATCATCATCAAAAAGAATCAAAATAAAACAAAGAATGGAATCCATCGGAATCATCGAATGGAATCATATGGAACCATCATTGAATGGATTCGAATGGAGTCATTACCGAATGGAATTAAATGGAATCATTTAATGGACTTGAAAGGAATCTTTGGACTCGAATGGGATCATCGAATGGAATCGAATGGAATCATCATCGAATGAAATAAAATGGAATCATCGAATGGAATCGAATGGAATCATCATCGAATGAAATAACATGGAATCATCGAATGGACTCGAATGAAATCATCGTCGAATGGAATCGAATGAAATCATGGAATGCACTCGAATGGATTCATAGAATGCACTCCAATGGAATCAACATCGAGTGTAATAGAAAGGAAACATCGAATGGAATTGAATGGAATCATCAAATGGAATCATCATCGAATGGAATCGAATGGAACCATCGAATGGACTCAAATGGAATCATCATCGAATGGAATCAAAAGGAATCATCGAATAGAATTGAATGGAATCATCAATGAAAGGAATTGAATGGAATAATCATGGAATGGAGTCGAATGTAATTATCATCGAATGGAATCGAATGGAAACATCATCGAATGGAATCGAATGGAATCATCAATGAATGGAATCAAATGGGAACATCATTGGATGGAATCGAATGGAGTCATCAAATGGAGTCCATTGGAATCATCATCGAATGGAACCAAATGCAGTCATCAATGAATGAAATCAAATGGAATCATCGAAAGGACTTGATGGAATCATCATCGCATGGAATCGAATGGAATCATCGAATGGACTCGAATGCAATCATCGAATGGACTCCATCGTAATCATCATCGAATGGAATTGAATGGACTCATCGCATGGACTCGAATTGAAGTATCATCGAGTGGAATCGAGTGGAATCAAATGGAATCATTGAATGCACTCTAATGGAATCACCATCGAATGAAATCTAATGGAATCATCGAATGGAGTCAAGTGGCATCATCATTGAATGGAATTAAGCGGAATCGTCATTGAATGGAATTGAATGGAATCATCATCGAATGGAATCTAATGGAATCATCATCTAATGGAAACGAATGGAATCATCAACGAATGGAATCAAATGAAGAAATAGAATGGAATCCGTTGGAATCATCAAATGGAACCGAATGCAGTCATCATCGAATGGAATCTAATGGAATCATCAAATGAATGAGAATGGAATCATCACCGAGTGGAATTGAATGGAATCATCGAATGAATTCGAATGGAATGACCATCAAATGAAATAGAATGGAATCATCGAATGTACATGAATGGAACCATCGTTGAATGGATTTGAATGGAATCATTGAATGACATTGAATGGAATAATCTTCTAATGGAATCTAATGAAATCATCGAATGGACTCAAATGGAATCATCAAATGGAATTGAGTGGAATCATCATCGAATGGAATCAAATGAAATCATTGAATGGACTCAAATGGAATCATCATCAAATGGAATCGAATATAATCATAATCATATGAAATCGAATGGAATCATCATCTATAGGATTCGATTGGAACAATCATTGAATAGAATCGAATGGAATCAACGGATTGAATCAAATGGAAGGATCATGAAATGGAATCAAAGGGAATCATTGAATGGGATCGAATGGAGTCATTGAATGGAATCCAGTTGAATCATCGAATGGATTCGAATGGAATAATCATTGAATGGAATCGAATGGAATCATTGAATGGACTCAAATGGAATCGTCATCAAATGGACTCAAATGGAATCGTCATCAAATGGAATTGAATGGAATCATTGAATGGACACGAATGCAATCATCTTTGAATGGACTCGAATGGAATCATCAAATGCAGTCGAATGTAATCATCATCGAATGGAATCATCGAAAAGCATCGAATGGAATCATCATCAAATGGAGTCGAATGGAATCATCGAAAGGACACGAATGGAATAATCATGGAATGTAATCGAACGGAATCTTCGAATGGACTCGAATGGAATAATCATTGAATTCAATCGAATGGAATCATCATCGAATGGAATTGAATGGAACCATCGAATGGAATAGAACTGAATCACCATCGAATGGAATCAAATACAACCACTGAATGAAATCGAATGGAAACACCTTCGAATGGAATCGAATGCAATCATCAACGAATGGAATCGAATGGAAACGTAGAATGGAATCCAAAGTAATCGTCATCGAATTGAACCCAATGTAATTATTAAATGGACTCGAATGGAATCATCGAATGGACTCGAATGGAATCATCATCGAATGGAATAGAAAGGAATCATTGAATGCAATCTAAGGGAATCATCACCGAATGAAATCAAAGGGAATTATCGAATGGACTCGAATGGAATCATCATTGAATGGAATCGAATGGAATCATTGAATGGACTCGAATGGAATCATCATGGAATGGATTTGAAAGGAAACATCAAATGGATTTGAATGGAATCACTGAATGTTCTTGATTGGAGTCATCATCGAATGGAAACAAATGGAATAATCGAATGGACAAAAATGGAATCGCCGTCAAATGGAAACGAATGGAAGCATTGAATGGAATCGAATGGAATCATCACTGAATGGAATGGAATGGAATCGTCATTGAATGAAATCGAATGGAATCATCATCGAATGGAATCAAATGGAATCATCATGTACTAGAATCTAATGGAATCATCAATGAATGGAATTGAGCGGAGAAATCGAATGGAATCCGTTGGAATCATCATGAATGGAATCAAATGCAGTCATCATCAAATGGAATCGAATGGAATCATCATCGAATGGAATTGAAAGGAATCATCAGCAAATGGAATCAAAAGGAATCATTATGGAATAGAATCGAATGGAATCATCAAATGGAATGGAATGGAATCATCAAGGAATGGAATCAAAGGGAATCATCGAATGTAATTGAACGGAATCATCTAACAGAATCAAATGGAATCATCATTGAATGGACTTGAATGGAATTATCATCGAATGGAATCAAATGGAATCATCGAATGGACTCGAATGGAATAATCAAACGAACTCCAATGGAATCATCAAATGGAATCGAATGGAATCATTGAATGGACTCGAATGGAATCATCATCAAATGGAATTGGATGGAATCAATGAAGGGACTCGAAAGGAATCATCGAATTGACACGAATGGAATCATCATTGAATGGAATCTAATGGAATCACTGAATGGACTCGAATGTAATGATGAAATGGATGCGAATGGAATAATCAAATGGAATCGAATGGAATCACTGAATGGACTCGAATGGAGTCATCGAACGGACTCTAATGGAATCATCATCAAATGGAATCGTCAGGAATCCTCGAATAGAATCAAATGGAATCATCAAATGGAATCGAACTGTATCATCATCTAATGGAATTGAATGAAATCATCAAACAGAATTGAAGGCAATCATCATCTAATGGAATCAAGTGGAATCATCAAATGGAATCGAAGGGAATCATCATCAAGTGGAATCGAGTGGAATCTTCGAATGGAATCAAATGGAATCTTTGTCAAATGGAATCAAATGAAATCAGTGGATTGAATTGAATAGAATCACCAATGAATGGAATCGAATGGAATCATCATTGAATGGAATCGAATGGAATCATATAATGGACTTGAAAGGAATCATCATCGAATGAAATCAAATGGAATAACCGAAGGGACACGAGTGGAATCATCATGGAATAGAATCAAAATTAATCATCAAATGGACTGGAATGGAATATCGTCGAATGGAATCAAAAGCAATTATCGAATGGACTCAAATGGAATTATCGAATGGACTCGAATGGAATGATCAAATGGACAAGAATTGAAACATGAATTGGAATTACATTGATTTATTGAATGGGCTCGACTGGAATCATTGAATGGAGTTGAAAGGAATCATTATTGAATTGAATCAAATGGAATCATCGAATGGAATTGAATGGAATCATCAAATGGAATCGATCAGAATCATCATTGAATGGAATCAAATGGAATCATTGAACTGAATCGAATGCAGTCATCATCGAATGGAATCGAATGGAATCATCATCGAATGGAATCGAATGGAATCATCAAATGGCATCGAATGGAAACATCATTGAATGGAATCTAATGTAATAATCGTTTGGACTCAAACGGAATGGTCGAATGAACTCGAATGGAATCATCATCGAATGAAATCGAATAGAATCATTGAATAGCATTGAATGGAATCATCATCGAATGGAGTCAAATGGAATCATCGAATCACTCGAACGGAATCGTCATGGAATGTAATTGAATGGCATCTTTGAATGGACACGAATGGAATCATCATGAAATGCAATTGAATGGAATCACCACCGAATGGAATCAAATGGAATCATCATCGAATGGAATCCTCTTCGCATGGAATCTAATTGAATCATCATCAAATTGAATCTAATGGAATCATCATCGAATGGAAACGAAAGTAATCATCATCTAATGGAATTGAATGCAGTAATCATTGAATGACATCGAATGGAATCATCATCGAGTGGAATATAATGGAATCAATGAATGAAATTGAATGGCATCATCATCGAGTGGAATCGAATGGAATCACCCAATGGAATTGAATGACATCTTCATCGAGTGCAATCCAATAGAATCATCAAATGAAATTGAATGGAATCGTCATCGAATGGAATCAAATGGAATCATCATTGAATGGAATCAAATGGAATCGTCATCGAATGGAATGTAGTCGAATCATCATCGAATGGAATCGAATGGAAAAACCAGCAACTGGAATCGAATGGGATCATTGAATGGCATCAAATGGAATCATCAAATGGAATCGAACGGAATAATCATCAAATGGAATCGAAAGGAATCATCGTATGGAAACAAATGAAATCATCATCAAATGAAATCAAAGGGAATCACGAATGGAAATGAATGGAGTCACCAATGAATGGAATCGAATGGAATCATCATTGAATGGAATCGAATGGAATCATCGAATGGACTCGAGTGGTATCATCATGGAATGGAATTGAGTGGAATCATCATCGAGTGGACTCGAGTGGAATCATCATCGAACCGAACCGAATGGAATCATCGAATGGACTCCACCAGAATCATCATTGAATGGAATCGAATGGAATCATTCAATGGACTGGATTGGAATAATCATCGAATGGACACTAATGGAATCATCATCGAATGGACTCTAGTGGAATCATCATCGAATGGAATCGAATGGAGTCAACATTGACTGAAATCAAATGGAATCATCATCAAATGCAATCAAATGGAATCATCTTCGAAAGGAATCGAATGGAATCATGTTATGGAATTAAATGAAATCATCATTGAATGGAATCAAATGGAATCATCGACTGTAATTGAATGGAATCACCATTGAATGGAATCGAATGGTATAATCATTGAATGGAATTGAGTAGAATCATCGAATTGACTTGAATGGAAACATCATCAAACGGAATCAAATGAAGTAATCAAATGGACTCTAATGTAATCATCATCAAATGGAATCGAATGGAATCATTGAGTGGACACGAATGGAATCATCATCAAATGCAACCAAATGAAATCATGAAAAAATGTAATCAAATGGAATCATCATCAAATGGATTCCAATGGTAACAACGAATGGACACGAATGGAATCATCATCGAATGTAATCGAATGGAATCATCATATGGAATCGAATGAAAATATCATTGAATGGAATCGAATGGAATCATCGAATGGAATTCCATGGAATCACCATTGAATGGAATCGAATGGAATCGTCATCGAATGCAATTGAATGGAATCATCGAAAGGACTCAAACGGAATCATGTTCGAATGGAATAGAGTGGAATCATCGAACAGACTAGAATGGAAACATCATCGAATGGAATCAAATGGAATCAAGGAATGGACTCTAATGGAATCATCATCAAATGGAATCGAAAAGAATCATTGAATGGACTCGAATGGAATCATCATCAGATGGAATCATATGGAATCAAGAAGAAATGTAATCAAATGAAATCATCATCGAATGGAATCAAATGGTAACATCGAATGGACACGAAAGGAAACATCATTGAAAGTAATCGAATGAAATCATCGAATGGACTCGAATATAATCATCGAATGCACTTTAATGGAATAATCCTCGAATGGAATCGAATAGAATCATCATCGAATGGAATCGAATGGAATCATCATGGAGTAGACTCAATTGGAATCAGCATCAAATGGAAGGCAATGGAATCATTGAATGGACTTGAATGGAATCATCATGGAATGGAATCGAATGGAATCTTCGAATGGAATCAAAAGGATTCATCGAATGGACACTAATGGAATCATCCTCGTATGGAATTGACTGGAATCATCATCAAATGGAATTGAACAGAATCATCATTTAATGGATTCGAATGGAAACATCAATGACTGAAATCGAATGGAATCATTGAATGGAATTGAATAGAATCAATGAATGGAAGTGAACGGACTCATCTTTGAATGGAATCGAATGGAATCATCATATGTAATTGAATGAAATCACCATCGAATGGAATAGAATGGAATCACCGAATGGAATTGAATGGAATGACCATTGAATGGAATCAAATTGAATCATCATTGAATGGAATTGAATGGAATCATCAAATGGGCTCGAATTGCATCATCATTGAATAGAATCCAATGGAAACATTGAAAAGTTTTGAGTGGAATCATCATCAAATGGAATCAAATGGAAACATCAAATGGACTTGAAAGGAATTAACATCGATCAGAAACGAATGGAATCATTGGATGGATACGAATGGAATCATCATCGAATGGAATCAAATGGAATCAATAAATGGACTCGAATGGTATCATCATCGACTGGAATCGAACGGAATCATCACCAAATGGACTCTAGTGGAATCATCATCAAATGGATTCGAATGGAAACATCATTGAATGGAAATGAATAGAATCATCATCAAATGCAATCGAATGGAATCATTGAATGGAATCAGAATGAATCATCATCGAATGGAATCCAATGGAATCATCAATTGGAAACAGATGGAATCATCATCAAATGGAATTGATTGGAATCATCATCGAATGGAATCAAATGGAATCAGTGAATGGACTCGAATGGAATCATCATCAAACGAAATCAAATGGAGTCATTGAATGGAATTGAATGGAATCATTAAAAGGAATTGAAAGGAATCATCATTGAATGGTATCAAATGGAATCACCATGGAATGGAAACGAATGGAATCACCATTGAATGGTATCGAATGGAATAATCATCTTATGGAATCGAATGGAATCATCATCAACATCATCAAAAGAAATCAAACTTAATCATCGAATGGAATCAAGTGGAATCATCATCGAATGTAATCGAAAGGAATCATCATCGAATGCAATCAAATGGAATCATCATCTAATGTAATTGAAAGGAATCATCATCGAATAGAATAAAACTGAATCATCATCGAATGGAAACAAAAGGAATCATCACTGAATGGAATAAAATGAAGTCATCACCGAATGGAATCAAAAGGAATCATCATCGAATGGAATTGAATGGAATCATCATCGAACGGAATTGATTGGAATCATGGAATGTACCCCACCGGAATCCTCATCGAATGGAATAGAATTTTATAATCGAATGGACTCGAGTGGATTCATCATTGAGTGGAATGCAATGGAATCATCATCGAATGGATACGAGTGGAATTATCATCAGATGGAATTGAATGGAATCATCATCAAAAGTATTTGAATTTAATCATCGAATGGAATCAAATGGAATCATTATGGAATGGAATTGAAAGGAATCATCATCGAATGGAATCAAATGGAATCATCATCGAATGGAATCAAAAGGAATCATCATCGAATGGAATTGAATGGAATCACCATCGAATGGAATAGAATGGAATCATCATCGAATGGAACCAAAAGGGATCATCATCGAATGGAATTGAATGGAATCACCATCGAATGGAATCGATTGGAATCATGGAATGTACCCGAATGGAATCATCATCGCATGGAATCGAATGGAATCATTGAATAGACTCAAACGGAATCATCATCGAGTGGAATCGAAATGAATCATCGAATGGAATCAAAGGGAATGATCGTTGAATGAAATCGAATGGAATCCCCATCTAATGGCATCGAACGGAATCATCATCGAATGGAATCGAATGCAATCATCAAATGAACTCAAATGGAATCATCATCGAATGGACTCAGAAGGATTCATCATCGAATGGAATCAAATGGAATTATAATCACATGGAATTGAATGGAATCATCAAAAATTGGAATCGAATGGAATCATCGAATGGAATCAAATGGAATCATCGAATGGCCTTGAATGGAATCATCATTGAATGGAATCAAATGGAGTCATCATCAAATGGAATCGAATGGTATCATCATCTAATGGAATGGAAGGGAAACATCATCAAATGGAATTGAATAGAATCGTCACCGAATTGATTCATCATCAAATGGAATCGAATGGATTCATCACCAAATGGAATCGAATGGAATAATCATCAAATGTAATTGCAAGGAATCCTCACCGAATGGAATTGAATGACGTCATCATGTAATGGAATCGAATGGAATCATGGAAAGAACTAGAATGGAATCATCATTCAATGCAATCAAAGGGAATCACTGAAAAGAGTCAAATGGAATCATCATCGAATGGAATTGAATGGAATCATCATCGAATGGAATCAAATGGAATTATCAAATTGACTCAAATGGAACCAACATCGAATGGAATCAAATGCAATCAACGTATGGACTCGAATGGAATCATCATCAAATGGAATCGAATGGAATCATCATCGAATGGACTCTAATGTAATCATCATCGAATGGACTCGAATGGAATCATCATTGAATGGAATCAAACGGAATCATCATCAAATGCAATAGAATGGAATCATCATCGAATGGAATCAAAATGACTCATCATCAAATGGAATCAAATGGAATAATCATCGATTGGAATGGAATGGAATCATCCAGTGGAATTGAATGGAATCAACTTCGAAAGAATTAAAAAAAATATCAAACTAATTGAATAGAAACATCATCGAATGGAATCCTCATCGAATGGAAGCTAATAGAATCATCATCAAATGGAATCGAATGGAATAATCATAGAATGGGGTCTAAAGGAATCATCATTGAATGGAATTGAATAGAGCAATCATCTAATGTAATTGAATGGAATCATGGAATGGACTCGAATGGAATCATCATCTAATGGAATAGAATGGAATAAGCGAATGGACTCGAATGGAATCATCAATGAATGGAATTATCAAATGGAATCAAATGAAATCATCGAGTGGAATTGAATGGAATCAACAAATGGAATCGAATGGTATTATCAAATGGAGTCGAATAAAACCATCGAATGTAATTGAATGAAATCATCAAATGGAATCGAATGGAATAACCATTGAATGGAAACGAATTGAATCACCATCAAAAGGAATTGAATAGAATCATCACTGAATGGCATCGAATGGAATCATGAAATGAACTCGAATGGAATCATCCTCGAATGGACTCGAATGGAATAAACACCAAATGGAATTGAATGAATTCAGTGAATGGACTCAAATGGAAATATCTGGAATGGAATAGAAGGGAATCATCGAATGGAATTGAATTGAATCATCAAATGGAATAAAATGGAATCATCAAATGGACTCCAATGGAATCCACATCTAATGGAATCAAATGGAATCATAGAATGGTATGGAATGCCATCATCATCAAATGAAATCAAATGGAATCATCATCGAATGCAGTCCAATGGAATCGTCAATGAATGGAATCGAATGGAATCATCGAATGGGATCAAATGGAACTATCATCGAATGGAATTGAAGGGAATCATCAAAAGGAATCGAATTGAATCATCAAATGGAATCGGATGGAATCATCAAATGGACTCGAATGGAATCATCATCGAATGAAATCGAATGCACACTTCCAGTGGGCTCGAATGGAATTATCATAGAATGGAATTGAATGGAATCTTCAAATGGACTCGAATAGAAACATCATTGAATGAAATCGAATTTAATCACTGAAAGGAATCAAATGGAATCATCATCTAATGGAATCATCTAAAGGACTGGAATGGAATCATCTTCAAATGGAATTGAATGGAATCATTGAACGGACTTGAATAGAAGCATCATTGAATGGAATCGAATGGAATCATCGAATAAAATAGAATGGAATCTTCATCGAATGGACTAGAATGGAATAATCATAAAATGGAATCAAAAGGAATCATCCTTGAATGTACTCGAATTGTATAATCATGGAATGGAATCAAAAGGAATCATCCTCGAATGGACTCGAATGAAATCATCGAATGGACTCGAAAGGAATCATCGAATGGAATTGAATGGAAACAATGAATGGCCCCGAATGGAATCATCATCAAATGGAATCGAATGGAATCATTGAATGGACTCGAATGGAATTATGATCGAATGGAATCAAATGGAATCATCTAATGGAATCGAATGGAATCATAATCGAATGAAAACGAATGGAATCATTGAATGACATCGAATGGAATCATCATCCAATGGAATCGAATGGAATCATCGAATGGACTCGAATGCAATCATCAGCAAGTGGAATTGAATGGAATCATTGAATGGGCTGGAATGGAATCATCATAGAATTGAATCGAATGGAATCATCATCGAGTGGAATCGAATAGAATCATCGAATGGAATCGAATAGGATCATCGAATGAAATCGAATGGAATCATCTTCAAATGGAATCAAATGGAATCATCATCAAAAGGAATCGTCATCGAATGGAATCGAACAGAATCATCATCAAATGGTATCGAATGGAATCATCAACGAATGGAATCGAATGGAATCATTGAACGCACTCGTATGGAATCATGATTGACTGGAATCAAATGGAATCATAGAAGGGACTCGAATGGAATCATCATCCAATGGAATCGAAAGGAATCATCTAATGGACTCGAATGGAAACATCATGGAATGGAATCAAATGGAATCATTGAATAGACTCGAATGCAATCATCAGTGAATGGAATTGAATGGAATCATTGAATGGGCTCGAATGGAATCATCATCGAATGGAATCTAATGGAATCATCATCAAATGGAATCAAATAGAATCATCGAATGGAATCGAATAGGATCATCAAATGAAATTGAATGGAATTATCTTCGAATGGAGTCGAATGGAATCGTCATCGAATGGAATCATCATCGAATGGAATCGAACGGAATCTTCATCGAATGGTATCGAATGGAATCATCAACGAATGGAATCGAATGGAATCATTGAATGTTATCGAATGGAATCATCAACGAATGGAATCGAATGGAATCATTGAATGGAATCAAATGGAATCATCATCAAATGGAACCGAATGGAATCATCATCAAATGGAGCCTAATGGAGTCATCATGGAATGGAATTGAAAGGAATCATCATTGAACGGAATCATCATCCAATGGTAGCGAATGGAATCATCAACGAATGGAATAGAATGAAGTCATTGAATGGAATCAAATGGAATCATCATCAAATGGAACCGAATGGAATCGTCATCAAATGGAACCTAATGGAGTCATCATCGAATGGAATTGAAAGGAATCATCATCAAATGGAATCATCATCGAATGTACACTAATGGAATCAACATCGAATGGAATCAAATGGAATCTTCGAATGCTCTTGTATGGAATAATCATCGAATGGAATCGACTGGAATCATCATCGAATGGAATCATCATCGAAAGGAATCGAATGGAATCCTCATCAAATAGAATCATTGAATGGAATGGAATGGAATCATCATCGAAGGTAATCGAATGGAATTATTGAATGAAATCGAATGGAATCACCATGAAATGGAATCGAATTGAATCATCGAATGAAATCGAAAGGAATCATCATTGAATGGAATCGAATAGAATAATCAAATGGAATCGAATGGAATCATCATCGAATGGTATTGAATAGAATCATAGAATGGTTTTGAATGGAATCATCATTAAATGGAATCGAATGGAATCACCATCAAATGGAATCAAAAGCAATCATCAAATGGATTTGAATAGAATGATTGAATGGACACGAATGGAATCATCAAGGAATGGAATCTGATCATATCAACATATGGAATCGAATGGAATCATAATCAAAATAAATCAAATGGAATCATCTAATGGACTGGAGTGAAATCCTCATCGAATGGAATCAAATAGAATCATCAAATGGACTCGAAAGGAATCATCATCAAATACAATCGAATGGAATCATCCTCAAATGGACTCGAATGGAAGCATTAAATGGACACGAATGGAATCATTGCATGGAATCTTATGCAATCATTATCCATGGAATCGAATGAAATAATCATCAAATGGAGTGGAATAGAATCATCAAATGAAATCAAATGGAATTATCATCAAATGGAATTGAATGGAATCGTCATCAAATGGAATCATCATCAAATGGAATCAAATGAAATCATCATTGAATGGAATCGAATGGAATCATCAACGAATGGAATCGAATGGAATCATCAAATGGAATGGAATGGAATCATCATCCAATGGAACCGAATGGAATCATCATCAAATTAAACCTAATGGAATCATCATCGAATGAAATTGATTGGAATCATCATCTAATAGAATCGAATGGAATCATTCTGTAATGGACTCGACTTGAATCATCAAAAGGACACGAATGGAATCATTGAATGGACTCTCATTCAATAACCATAAATGGAATCGAATGGAAAAATCATCAAAAGGAAAGGAAAGGAATCATCATCGAAGGGAATCAAATGGAATCATCAACAAATGGAATCGAATAGAATAATCCAATGAAATCGAGTGGAATTATCATCGAAGGGAATCGAATGGAATCATCATCAAATGGAATCATCATCGAATGGAATCAAATGCAATCATCATCGAATGGAATCGAATGGAATCATCAAAAATTGAATCGAATGGAATCATCAAATGGAAACTAATGGAATCATCATCTAATGGAACCAAAAGGAATCATCATCAAATGAAACCTAATGGAATCATCACCGAATGGACTCAAATGGAATCATCATGGAATGGAATCCAATGGAATCATCAACGATTGGAATCGAATGAAATTATCAAATGGAATCGAATGAAATGACCATCTTATGGAATCAAAGTGAAACATGGAATGGAATTGAATGCAATCAACCAATGGAATTGAATTGAATCATAGAATGTACTCGAATGGAATAATTATTGAATGGAATCGAATGGAAACTTCGAATGGAATCATCATCGAACGGAATCGGAAGGAGTCATCGAATGGACTTGAATAGAAACATCTTCGAATGAAATCAAATGGAATCCTCGAAATGAATTGAATGGAATACTCATCGAATGGTATCATTGAATGGAATGGAATGGAATCATCATTGAGTGGAAACGAATGGAATCATAGAATAGTATTGAATGGAATCATAATCAAATGGAATAGAATGGAATCATCATCGAATGGAATCAAAAGCAAACATCGAATGGAATCGAACAGAAAAATCGAATGTACAGGAATGGAATCATCATCCAATGGAATCAAATGGAATCAACGAATGGAATCAAATGGAATCATCATCCAATAGAATTGAATCGAATCACCTAATGGACAAGAATGGAATCCTCATCGAATGGAATCGAATGGAATCATCGTGGAATGGACTTGAATGGAATCATCGAATGGACTAGAATTCAAACATCATAAATGGAATCGAATGAAATCAAACTCAAATGGATTCCAAAGGAACCATCTTCGAATGGAATGAAATGGAATCATGGAATGGAATGGAATGGAATCATCATTGAAGTAATTGAAGTGAAACATTGAATGGAATCGAATTGAATCATCAAATTGAATTGAACAGAATCATCATCACCGAATGGACTTGAATGGAATCATCATGGGATGGGATCGAATGGAATAATCAAAAGGACCCGAATGGAATCATCGAATGGACTCGAATGGAGTCATCATTGAGTGTAATCGAATGAAATCATCTAATGCACCTGAATGGAATCATCATCGAATGGAATCGAATGGAATCATTGAATGGACTTGAATGAAATCATCATTGAATATAATTGAAAGCAATCATCAAATGGATTCAAATAGAATCATCAAATGGCTCAAATGGAATCAGCATCAAATGGAATCACAGGGAATCACCAAATGGACTCGAACAGAATCGTCATCGAATGGAATAGAATGTAATCATCGAATGGACTCGAATGGAATCATCATCGAACGGAGTCGAATGGAATCATCATTGAATGGAATCTAACGGAATCATGAAAAAAGGGAATCAAACGGAAACATAATCGAATGGAATTGAAGGGTATCATCAACGAATGGAATAGCACAGAATCATCGAATGGAATCCAATGGATTCACCATCAAATTGAACCGAATGGAATCGTCATTGAATGAACTCGAATGGAATCATCATTGAATGGAATCGAATGGTGTCATCGAATGGAATCTAGTGGAAACATCAAATGACTCGAATGGAATCACCGAATGGAATCTAATGCAATCATTATCAAATGAAATCAAATGGAATGATTGAATGGATTCGAATGGAATCATCATCAAATGGAATCAAATGGAATCATCAAATGGACTCAAATGGAATCATCATTGAATGGAATCAAAAGGAATCATGGAATGGACTTGAATGGAATCATTGAACGGACTCGAATGAAATCATCATGGAATGGAATCAAATGGAATAATCGAATGGCCGTGAATGCAATTGTCATCGAATGGAATCGCATGGAATCATTGAATGGAATTGAATGGAATCATCAATGAATGGAATCAAAAGGAATCATCGAATGGAATCTAATGGAATCTTCATCGAGTGGAATCTAATGGAATTATTGTCTAATGGAATTGAATGGAATCATCAATGAATGGAATCAAATGGAGTAATCGAATGAAATCCTTTGGAATCATCATTGAATGTAACCGAATGCAGTCATCATCAAATAGAATCGAATGCAATCATCATCGAGTGGAATTGAAAGAAATCATCATTGAATGGAAATGAAAGGAATCATCATCGAATGGAGTCAAAAGGAATCATCATCGAATAGAATTGAATGGAATCATCAAATGGAATAGAGTGGAATGGAATCATCATTGAAATAAATTGAAGGGATTCATCGAATGGAACTGAACAGAATCATCAAATGGAATTGAATGGAATCATCATTGAATGGGATCAAATGGAATCATCAAATGGACATGAATGGAATAATCGAGTGGCTCAAATTGAATCATCGAATGGTATCAAATGGAATCATCGATTGGACTCTAATGGAATCATCATCAAATGGAATCGGATGGAATCAACAAAGGAGCTTGAATGGAATCATCGAACGGACTTGAATCATCATCGAATGGAATCAAATGGAATCATCGAATGGACCTGAATGGAATCATCATCGAATGGAATAGAATGAAATCATCATCGGATAGAATCAAATGGAATCATCACACAATGGAATCGAATGAAATCATCGAATGGACTCGAATGGAATAATCGAATGGACTCGAATGGAATCATCAAATGGAATTGAATGGATTCATCGAATGGAATTGAATGGATTCATCGAATGGACTCAAATGGAATCATCATCAAATTGAATCGGATGGAATCAACTAAGGGACTTGAATGAAATCATCGAATGGACTCAAATTGAATCATCATCGAATTTAATCTTAAGGAATCATCAAATGTCCTCGAATAGAATCATGATTGAAATGAATCTAATGAAATCATCATCGGATGGAATCAAATGGAATCATCACTAAATGGAATAGAATGGAATCATCGAATGGAATTGAATGGAATCATCGAATGGAATCGAATGGAATCATCATTGAATGGAATCGAATGGAATCATCGAAAGAAATAGAATGGAAGGATCATCGAATGGGGTCAAATGAAATCATCATCGAATGGAATCCAATGGAATAATCAATGAAGGGAAACGAATGGAATCAACATCAAATGGAATCAACATCAAATGGAATCAACAGCGAATGGAATGCAATGGAATCATTGAATGAAATCCAAAGGAATCGTCACCAAATAGGATGACATGGAATCATCGAATGGACTTGAATGGAATCATCATCGAATGTAATCTTACGGAATCATCGAATGGACTCATATGGACTCATCATCGAATGAAATCGAATGTAATCATAAAATGGAATTGAATGGAATCATCATTGAATGGAATAGAATAGAATCATCGAATGGAATCAAATGGAATCATCAATGAATGGAATCGAATGGAATCATTTAGTGGATTTGAATGGAATCTTCATCAAATGTAATCGAATGGAATCATCAATAGGACTCGAATGGAATCATCATCAAATGGAATTTGATGGAATCAACGAAGTTACTAGAATGGAATCATCAGATAGACTTTAATGGAATCATCATCGAATGGAATCAAATGGAATCATGGAATTGAATTGAATGGAATCATCATTGCATGGAATCAAATGGAACCATCGAATGGAATTGAAGGGAATCATCCAGTGGAACCGAATGCAGTCATTCTCGGATGGAATGAAATGCAATCATTGAACGGACTCGAATCGAATCATCATAAAATGGAATCGAATGGAATCATCGAATGGACTCAAATGCAATCATCGAATGGACTTGAATGGAATCATCAAATGGAATAGAATGGAATCATCATTGAATGGATTCATTTGGAATCGCTGAATGATCTCAAAATGAATCATAATCAAATGTTACTGAAAGAATAATCATCGAATGGAATCACATGGAATCATCTTCTAATAGAATCATACCGAATCATCATGGAATGGAATTGAATGGAATCATCATTTGGACTCAAATGAAATCATCAAATGGACCCAAAGGGTAGCGTCGAATGGACTCGAACCGAATCAGCTTCGATTGGAATCGAATGGAATCATTGAAAGGACTCGAATTGAATCATCAAACGGACTTGAACGGAATCATTATAGAATGGAATTGAAAAGAGTCATCGGATGGACTTGAATGGAATCATCATTGAATGGAATCAATTGGAATCATCGAATGCACACGAATGGAATCATCATCAAATGGAATTGAATGGCATCATTGTATGGACTCGAAAGGAATCATCATCAAATGGAATCCATTGGAATCATTGGACGGAATCGAATGGAATTATAGAATGGAATCGAATGGAATCATCTTTGAATGGAATCGAATGGAATCAACGAATGGAATAGAAGGCAATCATCATTGAATGGAATCGAATGGAATCATCGAATTCAATCGAATTTAATCACCATTGATTGGACTTAAATGGAATCTTCATCGAATAGAGTCAGAAGGAATAATCAAATGGACTCGAATGGAATCATGATCGAATAGAATCAAATGGAATCTTTGAAAGAAATCGAATGTAATTATCATCGAGTGGAATCTAATGGAATCATCGTATTGAATAGAATGGAATCATCTAAGAATGGAATCAAATAGAATCATTCAATGAAATCGAATGGAATCATAATCGAGTGGAGTCGAATGGAATCATCAACAAATGGAATTGAATGGAATCATAGAATGGAATTCAATGTAATCATCATCGAATTGAACCCAATGGAATCATTAAATGGACGTGAATGGAATCATCGAATGGACTCGAAAGGAATGATCATCGTTTGGTATAGAATGGAATCATAGAATGCAATCAAATGGTACCATCATCGAATGAAATCAAATGGAAGCTTTGAATGGACTCGAATGGAATCATCATCGAATGGAATCAAATGGAATCATCAAATGGACTAGAATGGAATCATGGAATGGACTCGAATGGAATCATTATTGAATGCAATCAAATAGAATCATTGAATGACATCGCATGGAATCATCATCAAATGGAATTGAATGGAATCAACGAATGGACTTGAATGGAATCACCATTTAATGGAATCAAATGGAATCATCATTGAATGAAATCAAATGGAATCATCGAATGGTCTTGAATGCAATCATCATCGAATGGAATCGAATGAAAGAATTGAATGGAGTCGAATGGAATCATAATTGAATGAAATTGCATGGAATCAGCAAACAGAATCGAATGGAATCATCGAATGGCATTGAATGGCATCATCATCGCAAGGAATCATTGAATGGAATCAAATGTAATCATCATCAAATGAAATCGAAGGGAATCATCAAATGGCATCGAAAGGAATCATCATCCAATGGAATCAAATGGAACCATCTAACGGACTCGTTTGGAAACATCATTGAATAGAAATGAGTGGAATCATTGAATGGACACTAATGGAATCATCATTGAATGGAATCGAACAGAATCATCATCAAATGGAGTCAAGTAGAATCATCATAGAATGGAATCAAATGGAGTCATCTAATGGAAGAGAATGGAATCATCATCGAATGGAATCAAATAGAATCATCAAGTGAAATCAAATTGGATAATCATCTAATGGAATCTAATGGAATCATGATTGAATGGAATCGAATGGAATCATCATCAAATGGAATCTAATGGAATCATCAACACATGGAACTGAATGGAACCATCATAGAGTGGAATCTAATGGAATCATCATCGAAAGGAATCCAATGGGATCACTGAATTGAATGGAGTGATCATTGAATGGAATCAAAGGGAATCATCAAATGGGATTGGAAGGAATCATCGAAAGGAATCGAATGGAATCACCGAATGGATTCGAATGGAATCAACATTGAATGGAATCAAATGGAATCATCTAATGGACTCGAGTGGAATCATCATCGAATGGAATCATTGAATGGAAATGAATGGAATCATCACTGAATGGAATCCAAAGGAAATATCGAATGGACTCAAATGGAAATATCATCAAATGGAACCAAATGGAATCATTGAATGGCAACTAATAGAATCATCAATGAATGGTATCTAAGGGAATAATCAAATGGACTAGAAGGGAATCACCTAATGGACTCGAATGGAATCATCATCCAATGGAATCGAATGGAATCATTGAATGAACTTGAATGGAATCATCATCGAATGGAATTGAATGGAATCATCGAATGGACTCGAATGGAATCATCTTCAAATGGAATCAAATGGAATCAGAGAATGGGCTCAAATGGAATCATAAACGAATCGAATCGAATGGATTCTTCGAATGGCATTGAAAGGCATCATCATGGAATGGAATGGAATGGAATCATTGAAAGGACTCGAATGGAGTCAAGATCGACTGGAATCTAATGGAATGTTTGAATGGACTCAATTGAAATCATCATCGAATGCAAGTGAATGGAATCATCATCGAATGGAATCAAATGGAATCATTATCGAATGGGATTGAATGGAATCATCATCGAATGGAATCGAATGGGATCATCATTGAATGGAATAGAATGGAATCATCCAATGGAATAGAATGGAATCATCATCGAATGGGATCGAATGGAATCATCAATGAATGGAATTGAATGGAGTCATCGAATGTAGTCTGTTAGAATCATCATCGAATGGAACCGAATGCAGTCGTCATCTAATGGAATCAAATGGAACCATCGAAAGGAATTGATGGAATCATCATCGCATGGGATCGAAAGGAAACATCCAATGGACTCAAATGGAATCATCATCGGATGGAATCGAATGGAATCATTCATTGGACACGAATGCAATCATCATCGAATGGAATAGAATGGAATCTTGGAATGGAATCAAATGAAATTATTGAATGGAATCGAATAGAATCATCATTGAATAGAATCGAATTGGATCATCATCGAATGGAATCAAATGATATCATCATCAAATGGAATCTAGTGGAGTCATCATCTAATGGAATTGAATGGATTCAGCAAGGAATGGAATCGAATGGAGAAATCAAATGGAATCCATTGGAATCATCATCGAATGGAACCAAATGCAGTCATCATAGAATGGAATTGAATGGAATCAACGAAGGGACTCGAATTGTGTCATCATTTAATGGAATCGGATGGAATCATCGAATGGACTCGAATGGAAACATCATTGTAGGGAATCGAATGGAATAGAATGGAATCGAATGGAATCCTCAAATGGAATCGAATGTAATCATCGAATGGACACTAATGGAATCATCATCGAATGGAATCGAATGGAATCATCAAATGGACTCGAATGGAATCATTGAATGGACTCGAATGGAATCATCCTTGAAGGGAATCGAGTGGAATCCTCGAATGGAATCAAATGGAATCATCTAATGGAATCGAACAGATTTATAAGAAACTTACTTGAACCAAAAAATAGAAAAACAAACAAACCAAAACCCCCTAAAACTGTGATGAGCAAGTAGACGTCAGAACAGGAAATATCACTGGGGATGAAGAATAACATTTCAAAATGACGAAGGGGAAAATACACCAAGAAGTCATGTAAATAAGATATATGTATGCACACAATAGCATTATTTCAAAATACATAATATAAAACCTATTAAAAATGAAAGGTAAAATAGTAAAACCACAGTCATCCATGGGGATTTCAACAGTCTCCTGCCAGAAATTTTTAATTTTTGTTAAACGAAAATTTGGTAAGGCTAGAGAGGATCTTATAAATATAATTAGCCAACTTGATCTAACTGAATCTTTTAGAATAATCTAAGGATGAGGAATGAGGTAGCAGAGAAAGAAAAGGCAGACATCAACGTGACATTAGTGTTTCAAGTCTATGAGAATACACCAATAATGGTGTATGTGTGTGTGCAGATGGTAAGCTCAATCTTAAAATTATTGAGTTTTAACTGACAATTCATTATTAGGAAAGATAAGAGGAAATGATATCTAGTGAGAGGCTATATGACTGAACTCTAAGAGAAAGGTCACAGCAGAAATTGTGTACTTGACAGCTCGAGAAGGAGGTCAGTCAAAAATAAGTCAGTGAGAATTCTCTGGTGTAAAAGCAGAGGAATAAGGATTAGATTGAAAACACATGGAAGCAGAGTGACTTATGATAAAAACATGAGCTTGAAAATCCTGCAGAGAGGGCTTTAAATCCTGGGTATGATATTCTGCTTGTGTAGGCAATAGTGATAAAAACACAACAACAAAGAGAGGTAAAGAGCACTTTCCTTTGATATAAGTAAAGGGCACGTCTTATTGCACATATATATATATATATATATATATATATATATATATATATATATATGTATTCAACTGAGATTCAACATGTTTCTCTCATTAAAACAGCAAGCTCTCCAGGCCTTCATGTTCCCAGTGAGGTAGGTAACCTTCTGATGATTACACTCACCCTCCCTCATTGCAAAGCTCCCATTGTTATTGTCTTGGCTCTGGATTCCCTCAAAAATAGACTATGAAACAAATATCTGGGGTCAGATACTTTAATCAGAAATTGAGTGAGAAAGCACAGAAGTGGAGAAAATGAAACAGAACACGAAGCCAGTGTGAATGAGTAGTTACTGCTATGTGCTCAGTAATGATGGAGGTATGGAGATTGTCTCAAAATAACTTTACAAAGAGATGGGGATGCTGGAATCCCCATCTCTTATTGCTTAAGGATTGCCTTAGAATCATTAACTCTCCACCCCTAACTCTTTCTTTGTTCCTATGTGTGGTTGAGAAGCACTGGTTAGCCTCAAGAAGCTTGCAGGCAGGCCCAAAAATCAGAAAGACAGGCATGATGTGGGGAGCTCTCAGTTAGCTGGAAACAGGTGAATTTCAGGTGAACACATTGAGTCCAGGACATAGAAGACAAGTCATCAGCAATATCTGTTATAGCCAGTATTCTTTTTCTTTTTAAGAATATATATACTTTCTATTGGGGGTCCCCAAGTCCCCTTTGGTTTAATGATTCACATAACTCAAGAAAGCTGATTTTTTCTGTGGTTATAGTTTCTAACAGTGAAAGAAACCAGATTAAAATAATCAGAAGCATAAAAGCACATAAAGTTGAGTCCAGGACAAACCAGATGTGAGCTTACAGGTGTCCTTTCATAGTGGGGACTTCACAATGACTAATTTTCTTTACAATGGTGTGAGACAACATGTGTGAACTTGTTGCCAACTAGGGAAGCTCAGTCAGTCTTGAGTCCAGGGTTTTTATTAGGATTCCACCACATATGCATCGAGCGTCCTGTGACTGAACTTAGCTACTTAGTTCCCACCCTCCCTATGCCCTAAGATATGTCATATTAATATGGCATTACACAAAGTCATAGGCATACAGAAACAGGTGCTCACAAGAAATCACGTTGTAAACATCAGCTATTTGACATGACCTACGTTTTCAGGTATACAAAGACTCTCATCAGGCAGCATATACCAAGGGCTCATAGGTTATCATCTCCCAGGAGCTTGTCAAGGGCTAGGCCTTAAGACTTTTGGAATGTGCAAGGTTTTGGAAAGCCATGTCTGCAGAATTAACCCTTCATTACACAGCCTCCAATAATTTTTTTATCATTAAAAATGTTTTTTCATCTTTGACAATGTACCAACCAATACTGAGTAATTAGTAACAACAGTGTACTCGTGAGTACTTACACCTGCAAGGAGAAAGAGGACAGATGCACTTACATAGGACAGATGCAAATAGACACCACTATGACAAGTAAAGCTGGAATAATCAATAAATTTCTAAAGACAAAGTGGGGCTGGTGAGATTGGGAGACCGCTGACAGCTGAAGAAGTTGGAAAAGATCCATCATCTTGAAAACTTTTTCCCCACAAACGCACTGCGTTCTCTCAAGCAATTGGTAAGGAATCCAAGAGAGTCCATATATGACACAGATCAGGGAGAGCAGAACACTTGGGAGGTGACCAGGTCTTGGGGCCGAGCCCTTATGAATGGGATTAGTGCCTTTATAAAAGAAGCTCAATGGAGTTCTTGTGTGCCTTCCACTATGTGAGGACATAGAAAGAAGGCACCATCTATGAACCATGAAATCGGCTCTCATCAACACTGAATTTGTGAGCATCTTGACCTGAGATCTTACAGCCTCAAGAAGTGTGAAAAAAGAAATATCTGTTGTTTTTTAGTCACCCAGTTTATGTTATTTTGTTTTAAGAGTCCAAATAGACCAAGATATTCCAGTTAATATGTAGGGGAAGGCAACAAAAACTGCCACACTTAGTATACTCCTGATGCTGGGAGTATGAAAACAGGAAAAACAAAACAAAACTGCTCTTGAAGGTGAAGGAGGAATATCACTGAGCTCACCAACACAGCCAGGAAAAGAACAGAAGTGTGAGAAGGCTACATTCCTGAGACCCTGAGAAAAAGTACCTGCATAGGACTGAGATGAGATTAACTATTCTAGTTATGATTGAAATCCCAAAAAGAAAAGAGGGAAAAATAATTGAGCAATAGAAATATTTTTCAAAATAACTGCCAAAAATATTCTAAAAGAAGTGATGGAAAATCAAACTTCAGATATAGGAAACTCAGAGAATGTCAAATAGAACAAAAAGAAATAAGAATTACATCTTGAAAAATCTTTAAAAAATCAAGTCTAAATTTTATATCTTGCTCCAAATATACAGAGATATAAATAGGTTATCATCAAGATATGGAGAAAGCCATATCATGGAAACACTAAAATAAGGCTGTGGAAGGACTACATTGATATTAGACACAACAGAGTTCGGAACAAGAAATACTATCAGAGATGAGAGATAATAGATAATAGAATAATCAATTCTCAAGAAGATGTAAACATACTTCTAATTAGGGTATGCAGCTAACAACAGAGCCTCCAAATACATGAGGTAAAACAGGAAAGAAATCAAAGGTGAACTAGAAAAATCCAAAATTATATTTGCAGACTTCAACACTTTTGTCTTAGTAATGGAAACACTAGGCACAAACTCAGTAATCATGTGGAAGATAACAACAATATCACCAACAAGACATCCAATCTTCAATGGAAGATACAGTTTCCTTTCAAGTGAAAAAATAACAGTATGGCATATTTCTAACAAACCCAGAATTTCTAATATTTGCGTTCTTCCTTCTTTCCATCTTCCTTTCTCTTCTCTTCCCTTCCTTTGCCTTTCTTCCTTCCTTTCTTCTTTTACTCTTCCTTTTCTTTTCTTTTTTCTTTTCCTTCTTTTTTTCTCATTCCTTCCTTCTTTCCTTCTTTCTTTCCTCTTATTCTTCCTTCCCTCCTCCCTCTCTTCCTTTCCCCCTCCCTTTTCTTCCTTCTTTTCTCATATTCTTTTGTTCTTTCTGACGGTCTTGCTTTCTTTCCTTTTTCTCCCTTCCTCCCGCCCTCCCTTTCTTCCTTCCTCCCTCCCTTCCTTTCCTCTTTTTCCTTCCTTTCTTTGCCTCTTTATTTTCTTTGTTTCTTTGACTTCCTCCCTTTTACCATTCTCTCTTCCTCCTTTCCTTCCTCCCTTCCTCCTTTCTTTCTTTCTTTCTCTGTTTCTCTCTTTCTTTCTCTTTCATTCATTCATTCTTTCTTTCTTTCCTTCTTTCTTCCTTGTGTTCATGCTTTCTTTTTTCTCCCTTCCTGTCTTTCTCCCTTCCTCCCTTCTTCCCTCATTTCCTCATTCTTTTCTTTCTTCTTTCTTTATTTCCTTCCTTCCTTCTTTCCTTCCTTCTTTTTCTTTCTTTGTTTCCTTTTCTTTCTTTCTCTTTACTACAATTCATATTATTTTTAAAAAATTAAGAGAGGGAGACAGAAAAATAAAGAATGCTTTAATCTGCAGGTAAATAGATTATGTCTGCTGTAGGCCAAAGAATGTTCTCCCCAAAATTTTCATGTCCTAATTCCCAGATTCTAACATACAAATACGTTAGGTTGCACTGCAGTGTGAAATTAGATTACAAGTGAAATTAAGGTTGCAGAAAAATGATAGAGAGATTGTCTTAAATGGATGGGATCAATGAAATGACAAACATCCTTGTAAGTGAAAGAAGAAGGCAGAAGAAAGGCCACTATAGAGGTGGTGGCATGAGAAATTACTCAAAATCACTGACATTTAAAATACAAGAAAGAGGACACAGTGCGGTGGCTCATGCCTAATCCCAGCACTTTGGGATGCTGGGTTGGGTTTATCACGAGGTCAGGAGATCGAGACCATCCTGGCTAACATGGTGAAACCCCATCCCTACTAAAAATACAAAAAATTAACTGGGAGTGGTGGCAAGTGCCTGTAGTCCAAGCTACTCAGGAAGCTGAGGCAGAAGAATCACTTGAACCCGGGAGGCAGAGGTTGCAGTGAGCTGAGATCGTGCCACTGCACTCCAGCCTTAGTGACAGATGGAGACTCCATCTCAAAAACCAAAAAGAAAAATAGGATAAAAGAAGGAGGTCATGTTCCAAGGAATAAAGGTGGCCTATGAATGCTGAAAAAAAGCAAGTAATAGATTCTGCCACATGGCCCTCAGAAAGACTGCAGCCCTGCCCAAAACTTGATGTTAGCCCTGTGAGTTTCATTTAAGGCTTCTGAACTACAGAACTGTAGGATTAACGCTCACTTTATTGTAAGATATGAATTTTGTGGTAATTGGTTACAGAAGCAAGAAGTTTATATTGTAATTGTATCATGAAAATGAGAACCATAATTTACAACTGCTTTTAATACTGAACTTCGATGTTTGAAATCACGTATATGGAAATGATCTCTATGTGCATGAGGGAGGATAGCAAATTGATGCCAAAATAATGCAAATGCAAATCTTACACACATTTCTATGTAGGTTTCATTTAATCTTTGAAATTAAAATGAAATTAAAAGATTGTGATATTTTGATGAAATTAGACTAAAATGAACAATAACAAAATAAGAACTTACTTATATTTTTATATGGTCAATAAAGAAGTGATAGTGAAAAAAACAAGATCAAATGAAGGTGATGATTTAGGAAGCTGGAAAGATAGCTTAAACTACAAAATGGTATATAACCAGTGAACACTTAGACACACTGATTGATGAACTTCAGCTTTTGGCTTGGTGAGAGCATAAAATGAGAGCAGCTGAGGTTTGCAAATTTGTAATCTCCTTGTGGAAAACCATGGGAAAACACATCTCAGCCTAATAAGATTTATCAACTAAAGTGTCTAGACTTGATCAATTTGTCCTTGTAATTCAAAAGCTAATGCAAATACTGATCTGATATATTGTGTGAACAACCATTGTTGATTATCATCGCATACCTGGCTTTCTCTTTTATCTGATATCTAAAATATCTGGTAATTCCTGGACTTTCTCTTTTCAAACCCAGTACGGTTTAATTTGAGTCTTAGAACAGTTGTCTTTGAGAAATTCTTCCCTCTACTGCATCTGTGAATGGGCATAGCATGGTTACATACATACTGTCACTCTATAGAACATTTGTTAAATTAAAGCCAAAGTTTAAAGCAAGAGCTTTAACTTACTGGTTTTACTAATGTTTTCCTCCCCAATAGCCACAACAATATTGATACCTCACACCTTTTAACATAAAGCTTGGTGTTGTCTATTTTTCAGGTGCTGTCATCTATATGATCTCAGTATTTTAAAAATCAGCTTCCAGCCAATATGGTGGTTCATGCTTGTAATACCAGCAGTTGAAGAGGCTGAAATGAGAGGATTCCTTGAGCCCAGGAGTTCAAAAGCAACCTGGGCAACATAGCAAGACCCAGTCTCTATCAAAAGTTAAAAAAAAAGTGGGCATGGTGATGTGCACCTGTTGTCGTAGCTATTTGGGAGGCCAAGGTGGAAGGATTGCTTGAGCTTGGGAGGCTGAGGCTGCAGTGAGCAGTGATTGCACCACTGCACTCCAGCCTGGGCAACAAAGCAAGACCCTATCTCAAAAAATATATATAATAAAAAAAAAAATCAGCTGTCATTGATTTCTATGCAAATAAGCACAGCTGATGTCCATATAGACATAAATAATTATATTTCTGACAGTGGGTCCATATGATCTTCAAAATGTAAAATGCCTATCTGTGTAATTCACTGGTCAGTCTCATTAATGAATATAGATTCAATTCTACTTTCTTGTTCTAGATAAATTATATAATCTAGCTTTTCATTTCACTTATTTACTGATAACAACAGGAAGAATGACAACATATCTATCTTGGAAAATTACTCTGGTAGGAGTAAAGATGAAACAATGATAAAATTGCACGGAAAACCAGAAAAAAGTATGGTCTTCTGATATTCTATCACATCACACACTAAAGGCCTCATAAAACTAAGATATTTTATCTAAAAATATTATTTTCATCATAGGAATGATCAAAGCATGAGACCACAATTGTATTAAAATGTGCTTGTATCACAAGCACAGGTGCTATAAAGGAGGGGAAAACATCATTACTGATATTTTCAACGTATGTTTTACTTTTCATCAACATGAACCTCAACTTGATATGATGCAGATTGAAGGAAATCACCCATAATTCCATAAGAAGAAGGCCTGTGATATTTTATTGGAAAATAAATAGAGAAAATGCTAACAGAAACCCTATTAAGCCTGAAGATTTATGGAGCAAATGCAAACCCAGTGGTGAAAGATATACACTCGAGTTCTGTTTGTTGTCTTGGAACAATACGGCTTAGAGGTGACTAGCGGATGAGGAGAACATATGCGAGTTCACCAAAGAGAAAAGCTGAATGAGGCAATGCCTCTTCCTGACCGTATCTCTTACTCAGATAACTATATAATTTATTGTCCAGTAAAGGGTATATTAAAAAATCATATTAAAAGTCATGCAGTGAAGTTGTCCAGGGAAATCAAGACTTAACAGTCTCACTCTGACAATAATGAACAGGGGGATTCCCTCAAGATAGACTAGGACATGACCCCACACTGGCAGGTAGTAGTACCAGAAAAGAACCCATGGAAAATCTTTACCTTACGCTTAAGGTAGGGACCGGGCTAAAGTGAAAGCCAGACCTAAAATTATATCCAAAATAAATCCACAATCGAAGAAAATATGTGGTGTACAGGCATAGAATGTCTTTACTGGATCATTGAAATAGTAAGATAAATTCAACTTTTTACATGGTTTTCTTTTCCTCCAGTTAGGGCTTGAGGTTTGTCTCTGGAGAGTGACTGTCAATTGGAGCCCTGCCTTTCTGGGGTTCTGGTCAGGGGGTTGTGGATGCTTAACATGTGCCTTTCACAGGACACTTCCTTACCCCAGCAGTAGCCAGGTGTGCATCCCACGACCAGGCCTCCCTCTCACAGAACATCTGTTGAGATTAGGAGATGCCTGGTGACTGTCGCCTGACCTGTGTCCTGTGTATTTCTGACAAGGGCCACTCTCAGAGACCCTGGCCAGGAGGAGAGTTAGGTTCCAGTGTAGGTCAGCTCAGACCCATGGAGGCCACAGAACCAAACATGGGAAATCACAGAAGTAGGTTTATTACTCACAGATCCAGAGAGAAGAGGGTAGCTGAGAAGAGGGTTTAGCTGTGTCCCCAGCCAAATCTCATCTTGAATTCCCACATATTGTGGGAGGGAACAGGTGGGAGGTAATTGAATCATGGGGGCAGGTCTTTCCCATGCTATTCTTCTGATAGTGAATATGTCTCACAAGATCTGATGGTTTTATAAAGGGGAGTTTCCCTGCACAAGCTCTCTTGTTTGTCTGCTGCCATGTGAGACATGCCTTTCACCCTGTGCCATGATTGTGAGGCCTACCCAGCCATGTGGAACTGTGCATCTATTAAACCTCTTTCTTCTGGAAACTACCCAGTCTTGGGCATGTGTTTACCGGCAGTGTGAAAATAGACTAATACAGTAGCACACCTCATAGGGCTGAACAAAATGGGGAAGATGAGTGGGGAGCAGGAGAGAGAAAAGGGGTCTGTGGGACTCCAGCCTTTATTGAGCCCAGAACATTACCCAAATGAGTTTTCCATGGGGCACTAGTCGGTGGGGTGAGTGCCAGCAGTCACATTTCTTGACTCCCGCTGCAACCGAGCAGGTCACTCTGGCTTGTAGGGGCTGTCCATGTGTGCTGTGAAGTCTGTGGGGTGAGTCAGGTAGGTTGTATCCAACAGTTCCATAGCTGGTAGTCACCAGGAGGAGGCAACTGTGTAGGGTCAATATCTGGGCCAGCCACACTGAGGAACTGTGAGGGTTAGAACTGGAAATTGTCAAGGGAATCTGAACCCAGCTACCATATGAGAGAGTTCAACTTATGTTCAATGTGAATGCCATGGCAATATTAAAAGATAAGAATTCGCTCCATACGTGCTTGAGGTAAATAGGACAAACCTAGAATTTATGTAAACAGTGAGAAGATTGGATGTGTTTTCCATCACATATTTTAATACTAGCAGCATATTATATATGTCAATCCATCAGGCATTAAAAAATACATGCTTATGAAAATTTTTTGCACCATCAGACAAAAGACAAAGGTAGAAGACATTTGTAACCCTATACACACTAGTAAATTAAAAACAGAAGGACCTTTATGTCCTAACATATCTGTGTTGTGAAAGGCTGCCCTGTGAAATACGGGATTTCTTAAACATATTTTAAAAATCATAGGTGTCAATATTTTTTAGAAATCCACTTAAATTTTCTCTTGCTATGTTACAATGTCTATTTATTTACTTAGTGGCTCTGCTGATTTTGATGTATATCCTAAACTTTACATTTTCTTTAAAGGATGTTTTATACAACTTTATGTAAAATGTTTCAGTATCTTCACATACTCTCCCTGTCCTTTTGTTTTGCTCTTATATGGTGGTCTTGAGTCTTTTCTCTGCCTTTTCAAACCTAGCAAGACTAACACACTAAAGGAACTTTGCCCGTGGTTTGCTAATGCCTTCTAAAGCACATCCTAAGCTCTCGTGCATACAGGGGTCTCCTTTGAGCTCTGTGCTTTTGAGATCCCATATACCTAAATTCCAGTACTCCAAATCAGTACTGCTCAGTTTTAGTGACTAAGTTCAAAAATGTATTTTAATAGCAAGTTAGTTTAGTGCACTCTTGCTTCTTTCTTGACTGCTTTTATACATGTATATTCCTTTAAAGAATGCTGGAATTTATTTAAAAATTTTAAGTTATACTAATGAAACTGTATATTGTTGTGAATTCATAAGTGAATTTGGAACGAATTTGTCTGTATGATACTAAATCCTCTTTATCCAAGAATCATATGTGTCTTTATATTTATTCCAGTCTATATTTATATCACTGAGTAAATATATAGAAAAGTAGATACATACAGCTGTAGTTATAGATACAAATATAGATAAAACATTTTAAATCTATATCTAGCCCATATAACATATATACATGTTATATGTGTGTGTGTATATATATATATGTTTATGTTATTAAAGAGCTCCCTTAAAATTTTCCTTTTATTTCCTATATAATTTTAGGTCGAGCTTGAATTTTCCTTGTTTAGACATTGTATCTTATTTTAGCATTGAATATTTTCACAATTAGTATAAATATTATCTAATATTTATAATGTACCTGTTAAAAATATTTAAAATTTTACCTTTGAATTATTTTATTGTTGAATTAAAATTCCTTTAATATGATAGTAAATTTCTATATTATGCTTTCTCTATGCATATGCAAATTAATCTATCCACTTCTCTATCTCTATGTAGTAACATATTAAAATCAGGCCTCTCTTCTTCTAATGGACATACACATGTTTGCATATAGAATATCGGACTCTTTATAGCATTTAAAATCTTTAAAGAAATGAATATTGCTTTTTAACAAATATATTTTAGCATGTACTGAGAATCCCCTATTTATTTTTAATTTGGGCTAATCAATATGATTATTAATATTATTGGATTACCAAATTTGGAAACACACTTTCTTCCCCAAGGTGGATATTTGTTTTATTTTTTTTGCCAATTTCTTGTCTTACTGTTTCAAATATTGTTGGATATTATTTTTATTTTATTTGGCATTTTAGTATCAACATTTGTAATTGATGTACTCTACATGTTTTTTCTTCAATATCTGGTGGGTTTTATAATTACTGCTATATTGGATTTGTAGTAGACATTGACAAATTTATTCCTGTATGTTTTATAGCTGTATGAAGGAAACTAATATATTTTACCCCTAAATATATTTCCTTGATATATTTCAAAATGGATATTGAGAAGGGCTGGAAATGCAAACTTAGCTGCAAAGCTGTCTTGGGGAGATTTGCATAGGTAGATAATCTGCCTTGATGCAGCCAGGCTTTCTCTGAGGTCTGCCCCCTTGTCTGGATCTAGGAAAGCTTAAATGAGAGTCTGAGGTCTCTAAAGGTCTGAAAGAAACATTTTCTGTCTATTTTCTCTGAGGACTGCTCCCAGTGAGGTTCCACCTAGGTAATAAGTCCACTGTTGCTAGCCAGGGTCGTTTTCTCACATAACCTTATTTTTTTCCCTGTGATCCAAGACCCCATTCTTTCTGTAAACTTCATGTGGTAGATAAGCTTCTGCACTCATCGTGTGTCTGTGTCTTCATTCTAAGGGCTCCGGTGTACACACATTGCAGAATCCTGTATGCCTTTTCTATTATTTACCTGCCTCCTATTAGTGATTTTCAGGGAAACTTCAGAAGGCAACAGGGACATTCTCCTTTAGCCCATTCTCAGACAAAACCCCCCAACATTTAACTGATTCCTAGTAGCTTAAAATCACTTTGAAAAATCCATATATTTATAACCTTTTCTTTCCTCTATGATTTCTGGTCAGCTTGGGTTTTGATTTTCATTCCATTTACTTCATCCTCGAAAAGATCTATTTTAAGTCTATTTGTTCTCATTTATGGACATTGAGAAAAAAACAACTTTCATGTGAGAAATGCAAGTCCTTTTAAATAATCAGGCCCAGAGAGATATTCAAATGAGACAGCAGTTCTGTCCTGCTCCTCTTTGAGCTGTGTGTTCATCTAGGCTGCTTGCTGTTGCCACAGGAGCTATAAATTAACCAATAACGCCACACCAGACCCTATAATCCACACCCCATAATAGTGTAACAGTGTATAGCCAGTCACTAATAAATGTTATTTCCATAAGCCAATGAGAATTTGTGACAAACCTCTTTGCATCATCCCACTTCTGGACCCTTTTTTGCCTTTAAGAAACTGCTTGTTGCAAAGCTCCAAAGGGAGTTCATATCCAAGGATACTTGGGTCTGTTTCTTCCAGGCAGCTGTCCTCATTTTGGCTCAAGTAAACTCTTTGAATTACATTTTGTGCTTTAGCCCCTTCCACTTAGATTAACAACATGGATTTGTGTCACCATGTACAGCAATTAAAATGTTTACACTTTTCCCCTCGAGGGCACTGATGTGTTTTCCTAAACACTTGGAATAGCTACATAGTGTTCCTGTCTATATTATGGTTTCTGAACCTTGGTGCTACTTACCTTTAGGACCAGAGGATTCTTTGTTGTGGGAGACTGGCCTAGCAATGCTAAGTGTTTCGTTTGACCTCTAAGTTTCACACCTCCACCAGTCTTGACATCCCCACAATAACCCTAGACTTTGACAAATGTCTCCTGGGGAAAACTCTCCACCAGTTGACAGCCAAAGTTATGGAAATATTGGAATTGCCAATTGAGATTTTATGTAATCCAAAACAAATACTTTTCTTTGTTTTTAAGCATCTACTTCCATCTACTTATCTACTTATTTTTACTTTTATTTGTAACTTAATTCCATCAAGGAGAGAGAGTGCATTTTCTGTTATGCTAAAGTTTTGAAGAATGTATTGATTTTTTATGACATGATATATGGATGATATGTAGATATTACATCTTTGCATTATCAAATTTCAGGGCGATAATAAAATAAATACTTATAATATTTATATTGTCACTGTATATTAGTTATTTTCTTTCTTCACTACAGGAGTTTTTCAACCTATAGGCTATTTTTCAATTCTAGGTTATACAGTAGATTTTGAAATGTTATGATTAAATATCTACTTCTCAAGCATTCATCTTTGCAAATGAAACAATCCCAAGCTCTTATAATGTACATCATATAAAGGCCAGATTAGTCAATATGTGGTTCAGAAATAGTCATGTAATATTTATAAGAAAATTAAAAATTTAGATACTTAACTCAGATAACAATAATCCAAATTAAAATTTGATTTCATTACATAATTTAAAATGACACCAGAATACTAGTAAAAATATAGATAATTTTATATAATCTTTTTTAGCTATAGGACTTTATTAGCATAAATTCAAATACATTAACCGAAGTAAGACTGAGACCTATAGTCAAAAGAAAATGTGGCACATACACACCATGGGATACTTTGCAGCCATAAAAATGATGAGTTCATATCCTTTGTAGGGACATGGATGATATTGGAAATCATCATTCTCAGTGAACTATCGCAAGAACAAAAAACCAAATACCGCATATTCTCACTCACAGGTGGGAATTGAACAATGAGATCACATGGACACAGGAAGGGGAATGTCACACTCTGGGGACTGTGGTGGGGTTGGGGGAGCGGGGATGGATAGCATTGGAAGATATACCTAATGCTAGATGACGAGTTAGTGGGTGCAGCACACCAGCATGGCACATGAATACATATGTAACTAACCTGCACAATGTGCACATGTACCCTAAAACTTAAATTGTAATAAAAAAACAGGAATTAATGAAGGTAGCACCTACTTTTCAAAGAGCGCATTTTTTTCACAGACCTATTAAATAAGACAAATAACATTTAAACTTTATTTTTAAATTTGCAGAATAGTAGTTTTCAGCAGATGGTTTATTTTAGCAAATTCCACCTTCACATTGTGCTATGCTTTTAAGAGTTCCAGCTGTTAACGGATTATATTTTACCGCTGAAAATATCATGTGTGATATAATTGCTCATTATGTGCCTTAAAACACAAACAATATAATTATTTTCAACTTGCAGCAAATTAAAGTCTTATCAGCAATTTAAAAACTCTAGAGTCGTCTTCTGGTTATTTTAAACTTGTATTTTTCTCTTTATGTTTTTAGTGAGTTGTCTTATCAAGGAGAAGAACTCAAGGTGATTATTCTTTTTTTTCTCTTCCATCCACCTCGCACGTGTGTTAATAATTTCATTTCTCAGAAAATGTTCTTTCATATCCATCTTACAAAATGAGAGACCTTTTAACATCTTCCATTCGGATGTGATACCAGTAATGGAAAATATTCCAGCTTCATGAATATGGTGATACAAATAGTTATCCGTCTAACCTCTTTCAGTGCCAAATGTTTACTTTACTCAGTGAATTACTCAGTTGACTGGTAAGTTCTTCTGAAATCACTAATGAGAGGATCAGAAGTCTGGCTGTTTTCTGTACCACATATGACTCCCATTGCAGACAATTGTTTCTATGGAGCACAGACAGTTGAAAGGATTGACTTCCTGCCTAGAATAGTTTCTGCTGTGCTTCTTATCCTTCTTGTGGAGATTTCAGATTATCTGAATTGCTTTTCTATCTTAAGAAAAAACGGAACAATTCTGCTACCTGAGAGGAATGTAAACTGTAGTAAGTTAGCAGAACCAATCCGTAAAGTTTTTAAATTGTTTGTTGCAAAATGCAGCGCTGGTGTCTCCATCACTAATATTTTCTATCCCTCATTGCTCTTTCTTTGACTGCAATAGGATATCTCTAGGCAAATCTGTATTCCCGAGACAGAGTGCCATTTTGTTGAGCTATAAGCACACTCAATGGTAGGCTGAAATACTACCTTTTATCTATGGCGAAATGGAATCATATCAGTGATTTTTTTAAAAAGGAAATTTAATTCTTGCTATGGTTTGAATGTTTGCCCCTTCCAATCTCATGTTAAAATTTGATTCCCAATGTTGCAGGTGGGGCTTACTGGGAGGTGTTTGTTCACGTCTTTGGACCTTCATGAATGGACAATACCCTCCTTTAGAAATCTAAAGCTATCCTCCTTCCTTGGTGCCTCAGGAATAAGTGTACCTTTCTTTATTCACCTATATTCCCCCCACCCACGCTTTTTGAGATATTAATTACATGTATGTTACACTGCTGCATATTGTCTGACGTATCAGTGAGTTTCTGGCTTTCTTATTTTAGTTTACCCTTTGTCCTTTAGTTTGTAAAACTTCTATTTTTTTCTATAAATTTTCTGAAGTTAGGGTAAAATCCATTACTTATTCTATCTCATGGAATTTTTATTTCAAATATTTATTTTTCAT
Source organism: Homo sapiens (assembly GCF_000001405.40). Classification (NCBI taxonomy): domain Eukaryota; kingdom Metazoa; phylum Chordata; class Mammalia; order Primates; family Hominidae; genus Homo; species Homo sapiens. The sequence goes on along the minus strand of NC_000016.10, from coordinate 36,151,793 downwards.
CTATACATGTCACATTTTTCATTTTATAACTTCTATTTTTCTCCTATGTTCAAATTTCTTTTAAGTACCTTGACATATATATATGTATTTATCTATATGTATTTATAAAATATATTTACTTTAAGGACCTTGAAATTTCCTTCTTCTCTGTCATTTATAAATGACTTATTTTTATCCTGTTAATATATGTCTTAATTATATATATCTTGTGGCTTCTTTGCATGTCAGAGTTTTTTTTGGGTATTTTGATGTTATGCTATTGAATATCTAGATTTTATTGGCTACCTTTGAACAATGTTGTGGCAGGCATTTCAGTAACTTCAGGATGAGTATTTGTCTGTTGTTGTTTTAAATCTTCTCTTTAAACTTTGTGGAGTTAGTCTAGGGCCATCTGTAATTTGGAGGTAAATGAGCACTGTTACTAGGGCATGAACCTCCAGTGGTCTTTACTGAATATCCTGGAGGTACAGAGGGGATTCCCTTCTCTGATTAGAATTTGGAATATAAAGAGAAAAGAGAAAAATAGAAAGCTACGCATAAACACTTTCTTTAAAATGAATTTTATGTGGGCTTTTTCATGAAAATGTTCCTAAGGTATTTTATTTTTTTATTGTGGTAAAATACACATAACATAAAATGTACTCTGTTAACCATTTTAAGTGTACAGTTCAGTGGTACTAAATATAGTCATAATATTGTGCAACCGTCCCTACCATCCATCTCCATAATTCGTTTCATCTTGTAAAACTGAAACTCTATACCCATTAAACAATACTTCCCCATTTCTTCCTCCCCCCAGCTTCTGACAACCATCATTGTACCATCTGTATAATGCTAATCAAGCATAGTGTCTGTGTTGCTTGCTTCCTCTAGTCCACAGGTAGCATACAAATGTAATAAACTACTTATTCATGTCACATCTATTTATTTTCTGCCGTATACCAAGCTTGTGGGATTCCCTTAAACACAACATTTTTATACTTACACCTATGCAATACCCATTAGCATCGCCTTCCTAAATCAGGGGAAATTGAGCCTCTGTAAGGTGGAGTAACTTCCTAAGATATAAAACTCAGCATTGATGTCTGTATACTTCAATATCCTGCCCTCTTCTCATTTGTCTTTACTGCCTTTTATGTATGAGTTAGATGTTCAATCAACTATCTTTTTTAAACTGAATTTAAGCCGTGGAGCAGTGTTTTGTTAACAATAAATATGATATAGGACACTCTTCCTCCCTGTTATTTATGATCCTGTTCATGAGAAAGAGAAATTCTTTATTTGTGCTAGAAGCTTAAAATAATGAAAATGTCACTTTCTACATTAAACAGAAACTGAAGGGAATCAAGGTGAATTGCATGAGACACAGAAAACAAGTGGGACAGAAATCTAGTATAATTTGCCCGTTGTGTACCTTTATTATTTAGCGATTGAGTAAATGATTCCCCCAAATATCTTCCCCTCTTAATTCATGTCTCTAAAGTAGACATTTATGTCTCACCTTGTCAAGAAGGGCAAACTCTAACATAAACATTTCCCAAAAATGCTTCCTGCTAAAACGGAAGCTCAGTCTGGTTAGAAATGCAGCTCACTTCATAAAGATTAATTGGTAGCTAATTTTGCATGCTGTTCTCTGAACTTGAGTGAAACCTGTCCATCAGGCATACAGGGAATGACGGAAAAGGTGACAACAGAAGATGAATGCTATGTCACTAACCTTCAAAGATGACCTGGCTTTTCTTTCAAATTCTTGATGTCTTAAGACTTCATTAATTCATCTCTCTTTGTCCTTGGTTCAGCATTGTGCTATGCCAAAACTCATGTAAAACAATGATTTAATGTAATAAAAATGGCATTTTTCTTTCATGTAAATGCAAGCTAACTGGCATTTTTACAATCCACATATTTCCTTTGTCAATTTTTCATTCTGTATTGGAAGTAATTGATAGGTTTTTCGAAGGGATGAAGGTGTTTCTGTGTTCATTGTGATCCAAACTATTTTTAGACCTAGGGGCGTTTGTAAAACAATTTGTGCCAGCTGACCAAGGATCACTGTGGAAGAAAGCAGCAAACTTGCATAAGATGTCACTGCCTCGTAAGTTGGCTTTGAAAACTAGGGGCTTACTCTATAGTCTTATGAATCAAAGACATTGATAGATGTATTATAAGATTACAATCATATTTTCCTTTTGACAGTCACATTATAAAACATGATGTGTTGCACTTAATCTCAATTAGCTTATCACAATTAAAATTAATAATGTTTATTATTGCTGATAAAAATAATGACTCTCCTATTCTCAAATGTGCAAGTAATTCTTGTAATTTTAATACAAGTTTGCATATTTTTATTAATTGTTTTAATCTCATTGGATTTGGTTCATGGATCCAATTTTTAAAATATTGATAATGGGATAATGCCTTGTCTCCCCATTTCATGTACACTAAAAACAAGATTTCTTACAATGGTCTGCAAGCCCATCATGATCTGCCGCATGTTAACCGCCAAAATTCTTTTATATCTTCACCCTTGATCTTACCCGTGGTCCTGGCCACCTCACTGTCCTCTGGACATACCAACAGGCTGCTGCCTTATGATCAAGACTCTAGTTAATTTCTTGACTTGGAAAGATAGCCCTCCATATATTCATTGGTCAGCTCATTCAACTTCCTCAAGTCTTTACTGAAACCTCACATTCTCGATGAGGCCTATTCAGTATTTCAAACTGCCTACCAGCTGCAACAGTCCAAAACCCCTTACTCTTCTCTGTATTTCTGAAAGGATTTATTGAGATATAAATTACATAGTGTAGAGTGCACACATTAATGTCTACAAGTCAGTGGCTTTTAGTATATGCACAGATAAGTGGAGCCATCATCACAATGAATTTTAGAGCATTTTCATCACTTCAAAAAGAAACCCCACCTTCTCTAGCTGTTAACCTCCTATGCACCCATCCCCTACTCAATCCTAAGCAACCACAAATCTGTTTTCTGTCTCTATAGATTTTCCTATTCTGTTTTTATCTAAATAGAATCATACAATAGGTGGCCTTTTCTGCCTGGCTTCTTTCAGTTGGCATAATGCTATCAAGGTTCATGTACGTATTGGTACTTTATTTCTTTTTATAACTGTATAACATTCAATTACATGGATATAACATTTTGTTTATAAAATATTATTTTTATTGACATTTGAGTTGTGTTCAGCCTTTGGCTATTTTAAATACTGCTGCTAAAAATACTTGTGTACAATTTGTGTTTGAACACCTCTTTCCAATAATCTGTGTGTATACCTAGGAATAAATTCCTGGGTCATATGACAATTCTATGTTTCATATATTTAGAAGCCATCAAATTACTTTCCAAAGTGGCTAGTTCTAGCCATAGAGTATCTAACTGTGGTTTTGATTTGTAGTTGCCTGATGAGTGATGCTATTGAGTATCTTTTTATGGGATTATTGACCGTTCTTGTATCTTCTTGGGAAACACATCTATTCCTATCATTTATCAGTTTTAAGTTGGGATATTTGTTACTGAGTTAAAACAATTTTTCTATATTCAAGATACATATATTTATATACGGAGTTATAGGTACGTGTTTTTCAAATATCTTCTCACAATTTTTGAGCTGCCTTTTGACTTGCTTGGTTGTCCTTTGAAACACCAATGTCTTTAATTTTTAGAAAATTTTAAATATCTAATTTTTATTTTGTTGTTCATGTTTTTGGTGTTACAGCTATTCCTTTGCTAGATCCAAAATCCTGAAGATTTTCCCATATGCTTTATTCTAGTTCTCACATGTGTGTCTTTAATTCATTTGAATTAATATTTTTGTATGCTTTGGGGTAAGGGTTTGAATTTATTATTTTGCAAGTGGTGATCCACGTGTAGGTTGGTGACCCAGTTTGTTCAAAGACTGTCTCTTCCTCATTGAATTGCACATGACACCCCTGTAAGAATCCATTGACTATAGACACATAGTTTTATATATGGACTCTCAATTCTCTTCCATCAATCTATATATTTTTCCTTTATCACTACTGTGTTCTCTTGATTACTTATACTTTGCAGTAAGGTTTGGAGCATGGGGGTGTGAATTATCCTAATATGTTTCCTTTTTTCAAGATTATTTTGGCTATTTTGAGTCCGTGACAATTCCATGTGTATTTTAGAATCAGCTTGTCAGTTTCTAGACAGAAGTCTGTTGGGATACTTGCTGGGATTTCATCAAATCTGTAGTTCAAATTGTAAAGTCCTACAATATTAAATCTTCCAATTCATGGGTGTAAGATGTTTGCTAATTATTTTGATATTCTTTAAAAAATAATTTTTAATTTTCAGAGTAAACTCTTGTATCACATTTTCCAAATTAATTATTATTTATTTTATTGATGCTATTTTACATTGAAGTGTTTTCTTAATTTCATTTTGGGCTTTTCAATGTAGATGTGTGCAACTGATTTTTGTACATTTATCTTGTATGCTGTAATATTGCTGAAATAATTTACTAGTTCTATTGTTCAATGGATTCCTTACAATTTTCTATATACAAGAATGTTATTTTCAAATAAAGTTTTATTTCTTCCTGTTCAATATGGGTGACTCTTATTTTTTTAATTGCGGATTTGCCCTGCATAAAATCTTTAGTACAGTATTGACTAGAAGAGGTCAAAGTATATATCCTATTCTTATATCTGACCATAGCAGGAAAGCATCCTTTACCATTAAGTTGCATGCTTGCTGTTGGCTTCTCACAGGTGCCATGTATCTGGTGTAGAAAGTTCTCTACTCCTGGTTCATTGTGTTTTTATTTTTATTTTTAATCATTAAAGCATTTGGATTTTGTTAAAACTCTTTTCCAAATATATCGAGATGATCATGCAATTCTCGTTTCTTATTCTATGGATAAGATGTATTACCTTAATGGATTTTGGGCTGTTAAACCAACCTGGGATTACTTGTATAAATTTCACTTTGTCATAGTGTATAATTCTTTTATATGTTGCTAGATCTGATTTGTTAGTATTTTTTAAGGAATTTTGCATTTATACTTATAGTAGTTTTATTTTTCTATGCTGTTTGTACTATTTTTTGTGTCAAGGTAACACTGGCCCCAAAGAATAAATTTGGAAGTGAATATTTCTCTCTTTTAAAAAAGCTAGTCAAGAATTAATATCAATTATTCAACACTAACAAATATTATTATTATAAATTATTAATTTCTCTAATTTTTATTCTCTTCCTTCTGCTTGCTTTAGGTTTAGTTTGCTATTCTTTCCAGTGCCTTAATGTGGAAGGTCATCTCATCTCATCCTTTCCTTTGTCTTTTCATTTTCTAAACAGTGTCTTTTTAGCATCAGGTGAGCTCCCCAGGTTGGTAGTACTCCATGTTTATTGCTGTACAACAGTGACAGGTAATATATGCTGAAGAAATTGGAAACTTAACATTCAAAATCTCCTAGAATCCACATTATATGATATGTCTCTTCAATTGGTCCTAATTTCTACCCTTTCTCTATTATAAACCATGAGTACAATGGCATTCATTGAGTTCTGTGAGCCTTTCTAGTAAATTGTTGAAACTGAGGGTGTTCAGGGGAAACCCCTGAACTGGCAGTTGGTGTCAGAAGTGAGAATCGTCTTATATGGCTTCTTCCTTTGAACTTTGCAGCTTGATGCAAACTCTGCACAATTTGGGCCAGAAGTCTCGTGTTGACTTTGCAGCCTAAAGCATCTTGTAGTTTGTCTAACCCTCAATAAATTTGCTTTCATCAAATATTGTATTTGTTACCTCAAAATTACCATCACGTTTTTTTCTCCAAATAACTAACATTGGGAGAAATAGCCAGCTGAGTCTGTAACTCAACAGAAACAAGTGTTCCATATACCATATACCATATAAGTGACCATTTCATTTTGCCTTCTTCCACCAAATCTTAGCAACCTCAACCATTGTCATGAGCCACTGTAGGCCTACCAGCTACAAACAAACAAGTATCTTTTAAAAATACTTCATACTCCCATTTGATAAATTTCCCAGCAAAGAGATGCCTACTTTAACTCTATGCAAGTGGCTCATATTCACAAAGTCTGTAGATATTATTCATGTAGTGTGAGAAAATCATCCCAGCGATGCCAGCACATTCTCCTTCCCATGATCTGCTTAGTTTGCAAACATATTCAGGCCATGGGTGAGAGATTTGTATTTCACCATACAACAATTTTATGGAGGGCATTGAAACCTACCTTGAGCATTTTAGTACAGTCACACATCACTGAATGATAGGGATACGTTCTAACAGATGTATCCATAGGCAATTTCATCATTTTGTAAACATCACAGAGAATATTACAAACACCTAGATTGTACAGCCTACCACGTCTAGGTTATATGGTATAGCCTCTCTCTCCCAGGCTACAAATCTGTGTACTACATTACTGTACTGAATACTGCAGGCAATAAGAACACAGTGGTAAGAGGTTATGTATCTAAACATACTTAAATGTAGAAAAGTATGTAAAAATATGTATTATAATCTCATGGGGCCACTTTTGTATATGTAATCCATCTTTGACTGAAATGTTATTATGCATGACATGACTCTATGACAAAAATAAAATAAAACATTGTAAAAAATGTACACAGGTGTCAAACATATTAATATTGTAAAAATAAAAATATTTATTCAGTGTAAGAATCTGTAATTATCACAAAATGTTCACAGCTTATATTTTAGTACAGTTTCAAATGCCTAGTGCAATTACTATTTATTTCTGTGTGTATTTTAAGCATGAATATAATAAATATTTTTCAGATTCAACAATATATATCCATCCAACTAGCTCTTATAAATATTAGTTAAATCAATTAGTAAATTCATATGTATATAAACACACATGTATCAGTCTGTATGCATATATGTGTGTGTAAATGTAACTGTATGTGTGTGTAAATGTAACTGGATGCATCCTAATATTTACCCTTACCTACAAGATTTCCAAGTTTCATTTATTATCTTTAGATGATGTGCATTTAAAGATTTACCAAATAAAGCTGTAATCATGGAAAATATCAAGATGTTACTAAATTCATCTTTTGGACATAGTTGTTTCTTTAAATTTATGTTTCTTGCAAAACTTGTGGTAATGCTCATGCACAAAATAATTGCCTAAATAAAAAATAAAAGCATTTTCTCAGTCATTAATTCTTAATAATTATTTCTCCCCAATAATTAATGTGAATTAATTCTTAATTCTTAATTATAGAATAATGTTGCCCTTCAGAGTTCTGAATCTTTTGCATGTTGTATACATTTCACTAACTAGAACAACTTCTGGAATATTGGCATTAATTAATGTCACTCAGCAATTAATGATTTCAAAGAAATTAAATACCATTCGTATTCTGAATCACAAGGGTACATTGGCATCTAATTTAATCAAGCTCTTTGTATCATCATCTACATTTTAATTACTTAACAAACATTTCTCTGTGTGAGAAAGATGGAGCATGTTATTGTGCTTTTTTAAGATGCAACTTTTGCTTCATCTCGAGATAGGCAATGCTCCCTATAAGGGACAAAGAGAAAAATGAAAGAGCAATAGAGATGTGACAGGCATGGAAAAAGACAATACATTTATAAAACAAATAGGGCCACAGATGATGATAATGGGGATCAAATCTTGAGATACTGACTCAGGTTATAACCACACTGTACAATAGAGCAAATCACTTGTTAATATTTTTACAAATGGAATTTAATTTAATTAAGATGAATACATTGTTTTAAACAAGGCAGGTTATTTTAAAATAAAATAGTGGAATAAAGTGATAAAACCAATGTTAAAGTCATAAACATTTTAAAAAGAATTTTTGTCATGTAATTTAATATTTTTCTTTATTTAAAATCATGCAAATCAAAATAATTTTATCTTAATTAACAAATAATCATCAGAAGTTAACTAACTTTTACTTTATGATACTAGGTTTAAAAATTCTTAACTATATTTTTAATCATGTGTGTTTATACATAAAATAGACATAGGGTATATGTTTACATGTTCACAATATTATATTGTAATTTTTCCTATGGAATGGAATGGAATCATTGAATTGAATTGAATGGAATCATCAATGAAGGGAATCGAATGGAATCATCATCAAATGGAATCAAGTGGAATCATCGAAAGGAATCTAACAGAATCATTGATGAATGGAATGGAATGGCATCATTGAATGGAATTGAATATAATCACAAATTAACGGAATCTAATGGAAACCTCATCAAATGATTTCAAATGGAATCATAAAATGGACTCGAATGGAATCATCGGATGGCATTGACTGGAATCATCATCGAAAGGAATCATCGAATAGAATCGAAAGGAATCATCATCAAATGAATTCGAATGGAATCATGGAATAGCATCGAATTGAATCATCATCCAATGGAGTCAAATGGAGTGATCTAACGGACACGAATGGAATCATCATCGAATGGAATCAAAAGGAATCATCATCAAATGGAATCGAATAGAATCATCGTATAATGGCATTGAATGGAATCCTCGAATGGAATAGAATGGAATCATCATAGAATGGAATCAAATAGAATCATCGGATAAAATTGAATGGAATAATCATCTAATGGAATCGAATGGAATCATCATCGAAAGGAATCGAACAGAATAATCATCTAATGGAATAGAATGGAATCATCATCAAACGGAATTAAATAGAATCATCAAATGAAATTGAATGGAATCATCATCGAATGGAAACGAATGGAATCATCATTGAATGGAATTGAATGCAATCTTCAACAAGTGGAAATGCATGGAATCCTCGAATGGAATCTAATGGAATCATCAGCACATGGAACCGAATGGAATCATCATGGAGTGGAATCAAATAGAATCATCAACGAATGGAATCCAAAGGGATCACTGAATTGAATGGAATGATCATCGAATGGAATCAAAGGGCATCATTGAATGGGATGGAATGGAATCATTGTATGGAATCGAATAGAATCTTTGAAAGGATTCGAATGGAATCATCATCGAATGGAATCGAATGGAATCATAGTATGGACTTGAATGGAATCATCACCGAATGGAACCAAATGGAAACATCGAATGGACACGAATGAAATCATCATTGAATGGAATCGAATGGTATCATTAAATGGACTCGAATGGAAACATCATGCTATGGAATCAGATGGAACCATGGATTGGCAGCGAATTGAATCATCAGTGAATGGAATCTAAGGGAATAATCGAATTTAACCGAATGGAATCATCAAATGGACTCGAGTGGAATCATCATCGAATGGAATTGAATGGAATCATCAAATGGACACGAATGGAATCATCTTCGAATGGAATCACATTGAATCATCGAATGGAATCAAATGGAATCATCATAAAATGCAAACTAATGGAATCATCGAATGGACTCGAATGGAATCATCATCAAATGGAATCGAAAGGAATCATTTAATGGAATCGAATTGAATCATCATTGAACGGAATGGAATCATCAAATGGACTCGAATGGAATCATCACCGAATGGAATCGAATGGGATCTTCGAATGGACTCGATTGAAATCATCATTGAATGCAGTCGAACGGAATCATCATTGAATGGAATTGAATGGAATCATCATCAAATGGAATGGAATGGATTCATCCAATGAAGTAGAATTGAATCACCATTGAATGGAATCGAAGAGAATCATCGAATGAAATCGAATGGAATCATCATTGAATGGAATCGAAAGGAATCATCATCGAATGGAATCAAATGGAATCATTGATTTGACTCTAATGGAATCATCATGAAATGAAATCGAATGTAATCATTGAATGGCATCAAATAGAATCATTAATGAATGGAATCTAAGGGAACAATTGAATGGAATCAAAAGGAATCATCAAATAGACTCGAGTGGAAACATCATTAAATGGAATCGAATGGAATCATCGAAAGGACTAGAATGGAATCATTATCAAATGGAATCGAATGGAATCATCGAATGGACTCAAATGGAAACATCATCGAATGGCATCGAATGGAATCTTTGAATGCACTCGAATGGAATCATTATCAAGGCAATCGAGGGACTCGAATGCAATCATCATCAAATGGAATCGAGTAGAATCATCGAATGGACACGAATGGAATCATCATCAAATGACATCAAATGGAATCTTTGAATGCACTCAAATGGAATCATCATTGAATGCAATTGAATGGAATCATCATCAAATGGAATCGAAAGGAATCACCATCAAATGGAATCGAATAGAATCATCCAATGTAATAGAATTGAATCATCATAGAATGGAATTGAATAGAATCATCAATGAATTGAATTGAATGGAGAAATTGAATGGAATCCAATTTAATCAACATCGAATTGAACCCAATGGAATCATTAAATGGACTCGAATGGAATCATAAAATGGACTCGAATGGAATCATCATTGAATTGAATAGAATGGTATCATCGAATGCAATCGAATGAAATCATCATCGAATGAAATCAAATGTAATCATCGAATGGACTCAAATAGAATCATCATCAAATGGAATCAAATGGAATCATCGAATGGACTCAAATGGAATCATCATCGAATGGAATTGAAAGGAATCATCAAATAGACTTCAATGGAATCTTTGAATGGACTCGAATGGAATCATCATGAGATGGAATTGAATGGAATCATCGAATGGACACGAATGGAATCATCATCGAGTGGAATCAAATGGAATCATCATCGAATTGGATCAAATGGAATCATCATTGAATGGAATTGAATGGAATCATCAAATGGAATCGAATAGAATCATCATCGAATGGAATCTAATGGCATCATCATCTAATGGAATCTAATGGAATCATCAAGGAAAGGAATCGAATGGAGAAATCGAATGGAATCCATTGGAATTATCACCGAATGGAATCGAAGGGAATCATCATAGAATGGAATCAAAAGGGATCATCACGGAATAGAATCAAATGGAATCATCGAATGGAATGGAATGGAATCATCATCGAAAGGAATCGAAGGGAATTATCAAATGGAATCGAGCGTAATCATCTAACAGAATCAAATAGAATCATCATCAAATGGACTCGAATTGAACTATCATTGAATGTAATCGAATGGAATCATCGAATGGACTCGAATGGAATAATTGAATGGATTCCAGTGGAATCATCAAATGGAATCGAATGGAATCAACGAATGGACTCAAATGGAATCATCATCAAATGTAATCGGATGGATTCAATGAAGGGACTCAAATGGAATCTTCGAATGGACCTACGTGGAATCATCATCAAATGGAATTGAATGTAATCGTAGAATGGCCTCAAATGGAATCATCATCAAATGGAATCAAATGGAATCACTGAATGGAGTCGAATGGAATCATCATCAAATGGAATCAAAGGGAATCATTGAATGCACTCCAACGGAATCATCATCGAATGGAATCGAATGGAATCATCGAATGGACTAGAAAGGAATCATCATCGAATGAAATTGAGTGCAATCACCGAATGGACATGAATGGGATCATCATCGAATGGAATCAAATGGAATCATTGAATTCACTCAAATGGAATCATTATGGAATGGAATTGAAAGCAATAATTGAATGGATTTTAATGGAATTATCGAACAGACACAAATGGAATCATAGAATGGACTCAAATAGAATCATCATCGAATGGACTCTAACGGAATGATCGAATGGACTCTAATGGAAACATTGAATGGAAACGAATGGAATCTTCAATTGGAATCAAGTGGAATTAACAAATGGGCTCAAATGGAAACATCAAATGGACTCGAAAGGAATCATTATCGAATGGAATCGAATGGAATCATCAAATGGAATTCATCACAGTCATCATCGCATGGAATCAAATTGAATCATCGAATGGAATTGAATGCAGTCATCATCGAGTGTAATCGAATGGAATCATCATCAAATACAATCGAATGGAATCATTGAATGGATTCAGATGGAATCATCGAATGGAATCCAATGGAATCATCATCGAATGGAATCGAATGGAATCATTATCGAATAGAATCGAATGGAAACACTGAATGGAATCATCATCAAATGGAGGCCAATGGAATCATCGAATTGACTCGAATGAAATCATCGAGTGGAATCAAATGGAATCACTGAATGGAATCGAATGGAATCATCATCGAATGGAATCTAATGGTATCATTGGATGCACTCTAATGGAATCATCAGTGAATGAAATCGAATGGTATCCTCGAATGGAATTGAATGGAGTCACCTTCGTGTGGAATCCACAGGAATCACCAAATGGACTCTAATGGAATAATCATCAAATGCAATCGAGTGGAATCATTGAATGTACTCAAATGGAATCATCGAATGGAATCGAATGGAATCGTAGAATGGAATTGAATGTAATCATCAAAGAATGGGATCAAATGGAATCATCGAATCGACTTGAATGGAATCACCATCGAATGGATTCGAATGGAGTCATCGAGTATACTCGAATAGAATCATCATCGAATGGAAAAGAATGGAATCATCAAATGGACATGAATGGAAACATCGTCGAATTGAATCATATGGAATCATCAAAAGGAATTGTATGGAATCATCATCAAATGGAATCGAATGGAATCATCAAATGGAATCGAATGGAATCACCAACGAACTGAATCGAATGTTATCATGGAATGGAATTGAAAGGAATCATCTGAAAGTTAAATCTAAAGGAATCACTGACTGGACTCCAATGGAATAATCATCGAATGGAATCCAGTGGAATCATCGAATGTACTTGAATGGAATCATCGAATGGACCCAAATGGAATCATCATCAAATGGAATAGAATGGAATCATTGAGTAGAATCGAATGGAATCACCATAGAATGCCACCAAAAGGAATCAATGAATGGACTCAAATGGAATCATCATCGAGAGGAATAGAATGGAATCATCATTGAATTGAATCTAATGGAATCACCATGGAATGGAATCAAATAGAATCATCGAATGGACTCAAATGGAATCATCATCGAATGAAACCAAATGGAATCATCGAATGAAACAGAATGGAATCGCTGAATGGATTCGAATGGAATCATCATCGAATGGAATTGAATGGAATTGTTGAAGGCACTCGAAAGGAATCATCGAATGGACTCGAAAGCAATCATCATCAAGTGCAATCGAATGGAATCATCAAATGGACTCGAAAGGAATCTTTGAATGGACTCGAATGGAATCGTCATCGAATGGACTCGAATGGAATCATCGAATGGACTCAAAAACAATCATCATCGAGTGGAATCGAATGAAATCATTGAATGGACTCGAATGCAATCATCGAATGGCCTCGAATGAAATCATCATCGAACAGAATCGAATGGAATCATCACATGAACTCGAATGGAATAATCATCGAATGGGATGGAATGGAATCATCGAATGGAATAAAATGGAATCATCATCAAATGGAATTGAAAGGAATAATTGAATGGACTCAATTGCAATCATCGAATGGACTCAAATAGAATCATCATCAAGCAGAATCGAATAGAATCATCAAATGGACTCGAATGGAATCATCATCGAATGGAATCAAATGAAATCATCATCAGATGGAATAGAATGGAATCATCACTGAATGGAATCGAATGGAATCATTGAAGGGAATGAGATGGAATCATCGTTGAATGGAATCAAATAGAAGCATCAACTGAAATCGAATGGAATCATCAACGAATGGATTCAAATGAAATCATCATCAAATGGAGTCGAATGGAATCATCATCTAATGGAATCAAAATGAATCATCTTCGAATGGAATCGAATGGAAACATCATCGAATTGAATCAAATGGAATCATCATGGAATTGAATTGAATGGCTCATGATCAAATTGAATCAAATGGAATCATCGAATGGAATCATCAAATGGAATCTTCAAATGGAATCGAATGGAATCATCATCGAATGGAATCCACTGGAACCATCAAATGAAATGGAATGGAATCATCATCAAAAGAAGTCGAATGGAAACATCAAATGTAATCTAATGTAATCATCAATGAAGGGAATCGAAAGGAATCATCATCGAATGGAATCGAATGGAATAATCAACAGGTATAAAATCAAATCATAAAATGGACTTGAACACAATCATTATAGAATGAAATCGAATAGATTCTTCGCATGGACTCGAATGGAATAATCTTTGAATAGAAACGAATGGAATCATTGAACGGAATTTAATGGAATCATCATTAAATGAAATCAAATGGAATCATCGAATGCACTCGAAAGAAATCATCAAGTGGAATCGAATGAAATCATGGAATGGACACGAATGGAATCATCATCGAATGGAATCGAAAGGAAACATTGAATGGACTTGAATGGAATCGAATGGAATGACTGAATGAACATGAATGGAATCATCATCGAATGGAATCGAAAGGAATCATCAAATGAAATTGAATGGAATCATCATTGAACGGAGTCGAACGGAATAATTATGGAATGGAATCTAAAGGAATCATCATCGAATGGAGTTGAATGGAATTATCTAATGCAATCAAATGGAATCATTGACGAACTCAATCGAATGGAGAAATCGAATGGAATCCATTGGAATCTTCATCGAATTGAACCGAATGCAGTCATTATCAAATGGAATTGAATGGAATCATCGTCAAATGGAATTGAAAGGAATCATCATCGAATCGAACAGAATGGTATCATCGAATGGAATAGAATGGAATCATCATCGAAAGAAATCAAAGGGAATCATCAAATGGAATAGAATGGAATAATCATTGAATGGAATTGAATGGAATCATCGAACAGACTCGAATGGAATAATCAAATGGACTCGAATGAAATCATCAAATGAAATAGAATGGAATAATCAATTGGACTGGAATAGAATCATCATCAAATGGTATCGGATGGAATCAATGAAGGGACTCAAATGGCATCATCGAATGGACACGAATGGAATCATCATCGAATGGACACGAATGGAATCATCGAATGGAATCGAAAGGAATGATCATGGAATGGAATCATGATTGAATGGAATTGAATGGAATCATCATCGAATGGAATTGAATGGAATCATCAATTAATGGAGTCAAATGGAGTCATTGAATGGAGACTTTAGATTCATCATCGAATGGAACTGAATGCAGTCAGCGTCAGATGGAATCAAATGGTGTCATCAAAAGGACTTGATGGAATTATCATCGCATGGAACCACATGGAATCATCTAATCAACATGAAAGGAGTTATCTTTCGGTGGAATCAAATGGAATCATCGAATGCACTCAAATGGAATCATCATTGAATGTAATTGAAAGGAATCATTGAATGGAATTGAATGGAATCATTGAATGTACTCGAATGAAATCATCATCAAATGGAATCAAATGGAATCATCGAATGGACCTTAATGGAATCATCATCAAATGGAATCGAATGGAATCATCGAATGGAACCGAATGGAATCATCATTGAATGGAATTGAATGGAATCGTCATCGAAAGGAATCTAATGGAATCATCATTTAATGGAAACGAATGGAATCATCAATGAATGGAATGAAATGGAGAAATTGAATGGGATCCATTGGAATCATCATCAGATGGAACTGAATGCAGTCATCAATGAATGCAATTGAGTGGAATCATCAAATGGATTAGAATGAAATCATCATCAAATGGAATTGAATGGAATCATTGAATGGACTAGAATGAAATGACCATCAAATGGAATCGAATGGAATCTTTGAATGGACACAAATGGAATCATCATTGAATGGAATCGAATGGAATCATTGAATGGCATCCAACGGAATCATGATCGAATGGAATCTAATGGCATCATTGAATGGACTCGAATGGAATCATCGATTGGACTTGAGTGGAATCGTCACAGAATGGAATCGAATGTACACGACGAATGGACTTGAATCATAATCAAATGGAATTTAATTAAATCATAATCGCATGGAATCGAATAGAATCATCACCAAATGGAGTCGAATGGAATCATAATTTAATAGAATCGAATGGAATCACCGAATTCAATCAAATGGAATGATCATCGAATGGAATCGAATGGGATCGAATGGAGTCATCGAATGGAATCGTGTGGAATCATCGAATGGATTTGAATGGAATCATCATCGAATGGAATCGAATGGAATCTTCGAATGGAATCAAATGAAATCATCATCAGATGGAAATGAATGGAATCATCACTCAATGGACTTCAATGAAATCATCGAACAGAATCAGATGCAATCATCATCGATTGGAATCAAATAAAAGCATTGAAAGAAATTGAATGGAATCATCAACGAACGGACACATATGGACTAATCATTGCATGGACTCGAATGGAATCATCGTTGAATGGAATCGAATGGAATCATCATTGAAAGGAATCGAATGGAAACATCACGGAATTGAATCAAATAGAATCATCATGGAATTGAATCGAATGCCTGATCATCGAATGGAATCGAATGGAAACATCATCAAATGGAATCAAATGGAATCTTCATATAGAATCGAATGGAATCATCATAGAATGGAATTGAATGGAACCATTGAATGAAATCGAATGGAATAATCATCGAATGGAGTTGAATGGAATTAACGAATGGACTCGAATTGAATCAACAAATGGAATCTAGGGGAATCATCATCGAATGGAATCAAATGGAATCATCAAATGAACTCAAATGGAATCACTGAATTGACTCGAATGAAATCATCAAATGGACTCTATTGGAATCATCATCGTATTGAATCAAATGAAATCATTGAATTGAATCGAATGGAATCATGATTGAATGGAATCAAACGGAATCATCATCGAATGGAATCGAAAAGAATCATCACCAAATGGAGTAGAATGGAATCATCATGGATTGGAATCCAAAGGAATCAGCAACGAATGGAACTGAATGGAATCATCATCGAATGGAAACAAAAGGAGTCATCGTCGAATGGAATCACATGGAATCAGCATCCAATGGAATTGAATGGAATCATCAAATGGAATAGAATGCAGTCCTTATCGAATGGAATTGAATGGAATCATCATTGAATAGAATCAAATGGAATCATCAAATGGAATCGAAAGGAATCATTGAATGGGCTCAAATTGAATGATCAAATGGAATTGAATAGAATCAGCATCAAACGAAATCGAATAGAATCATTATCAAATCGAATCAAATGGAAACATTGAATGGAATCATCATCAAATGGAGTCCAATGGAATCATCAAATGGACTCGAATGGAATGATCATAGAATGGAATTGAATGGAATCATCGAATGGAATCATCATCAAATGGAATCGAATGGTACCATCAAATGCACTCGAATGTAATCATCAATGAATGGTATCAAATGGTATCATCGAATGGACTCGAATGGAAAAATCTTCAATTGGCTTTGAAATGAATCGCTGAATGGACTCGAATTGAATATTCTTTGAAAGGAATCGAATGGAATCTTCGAATGGAATCAAATGGAATCATCATCGAATGGAATCGAATTGAATCATTGAAGGTTCTGGAATGGAATCATCATTGTATGGAATCGAGTGGAATCATCGAATGGAATCGAATAGAAGCATCATCGAATGTAATCAAATGGAATCATCATTGAATGGAATCCAAAGGAATAATCATCGAATGGAACCGAATGGGATCATCTTCGAATGGAAGCGAAAGGAGTCATCATCAAATGGAATCGCAAGGAATCATCATCGAATGAAATCATTATCAAATGGAATCTAATGGAATCATTGAATGGAATTAAATGCAATCATCCTCAAATGAAATGAATGGAATCATTGAATCGTCTCGAATGGAATCATTATCAAATGGAATCGAAAGGAATCACCGAATAGAATCAAATGGAATAATCATCAAATGGACTTAATTGGCATAATCATCATATCGAATTGAACGGAATTATCAGATGGAATTGAATAGAATCATTGAATGGAGTTGAATGGAATCATTGAACGGACTCGAATGGAATCATCATTGAATGGTATCGAATGAAATCATTGAATGGACTCGAATGGAATAATCATCAAATGGAATCGAATAGAATCATTATTGGATGGAAGTGAATGGACTTATCATCGAATGGAATCGAATGGAATCATCAAATGGTGTCAGATGGAATCATCATCGAATGTAATCAAATAGAATCATCGAATGAAATCGAATGGAATCATCATCAAATGGACTCGAATGGAATAATCATCCAATGGAATCCAATGGAATCAACATCGAATGGAATCGAATGGAAACACCATCGAATTGAGTCAAATGGAATCATCGTGGAATTGAAGTGAATGGACTCATCATCAAATGGATTCGAATGGAATCATCAAATGGAATTGATTGGAATCATCATTGAATAGAATCAAAAGGAATCATTGAATGGAATCGAATGGAATCATCATCAAATGGAAACGAATGGAATAATCATAGAATGGATTTGAATGGATTGATTGAATGGAATCAGATGGAAACATCATCGAATGGAATCGAATAGAATCATCGAATATAATAGAATTGAATCATCATCGAATGGACACAAATGAAATCTTCATCGAATGGACTCGAATGAAATCATAATTCAATGGAATCGAATGGAATATTCGAATAGACATGAAAACAATCATCATTGAAAGGAATCGAATGTAGTCACTGAATAGCATCGAATGGGATCATCATCGAATGGAATCTAATGGAATAATCGAATGGACTCGAATTGAATCATCATATGGAGTCGAATGGAATCATCATCAATTGGCATTGAAAGGAATCACCGAATGGACTCGAATGGAATAATCATTGAAAGGAATCAGATGGAATCATTGAATCAAATCGAATGGAATCATCATCGAATGGATTCAAATGGAATCATCGAAAGGACTCGAAAAGAATCATCATCGTATTGAATCGAATGGAATCATTGAATTGAATCGAATGGAATCATCATCAAATGGAATCAAATGGAATCATCATTGAAAGGAATCGAAAAGAGTCATCAACAAATGGAGTAGAATGGAATCATCATGGATTGGAATCCAAAGGAATCAGCAACGAATGGAACCGAATGGAATCATCATCAAATGGAAACAAAAGGAGTCATCATCAAATGGAATCGCATGGAATCATCATCTAATGGAATTGAATGGAATCATCAAATGGAATAGAATGCAGTCCTTATCGAATGGAATTGAATGGAATCATCATTGAATACAATCAAATGGAATCATCAAATGGAATCAAATGGAATCATTGAATGGGCTCAAATTGAATGATCAAATGGAATTGAATAGAATCAACATCAAACGAAATCGAATAGAATCATTATCAAATCAAATCAAATGGAAACATTGAATGGAATCATCATCAAATGGAGTCCAATGGAATCATCAAATGGACTCGAATGGAATGATCATAGAATGGAATTGAATGGAATCTTCGAATGGAATCATCATCAAATGGAATCGAATGATATCATCAAATGCACTCGAATGGAATCATCAATGAATGGTATCGAATGGTATCATCGAATGGACTTGAATGGAAAAATCTTCAATTGGCATCGAATGTACACTAATGGAATCATCATCGAATGTACACTAATGGAATCATCATTGAATGGAATCGATAGGAATCTTCAAATGGTCTCAAATGGAATCAACATTGAATGGAATTGAATGGAATAATCGAATAGAAACATCATCGAATGAAATCGAATGGAATCATTGAAAGGAATCGAATGGAATCCTCATTGAACAGAATCATCGAATGGAATGGATTGGAATCATCATTGAAGGTAATCGAATATAATCATTGAATGAAATAAAATGGAATCATCATCAAATGGAACCTAATGGAGTCATCATCGAATGGAATCAAAAGGAATCATCATCGAATGGAATCATCATCAAATGTACACTAATTGAATCATCATCGAATGGAATAGATAGGAATCTTCGAATGGTCTCAATTGGAATCAACATTGAATGGAATTGAATGGAATAATTGAATAGAAACATCATCGAATGAAATAAAATGGAATCATCGAAAGGAATTGAATGGAATCTTCACCAAATAGAATCATCGAAAGGAATGGAATGGAATCATCATTGAAGGTAATCGAATGGAATCATAGAATGAAATCGAGTGGAATCATCATTGAATGGAATCGAATTGAATCATTGAATGAAATCAAAAGGAATCATCATCGAATGGAATCGAATAGAATCATCAAATGGAATCGAATGGAATCATCATCGAATGGTATCGAATGGAATCATAGAATAGTTTTGAATGCAATCATCATCAAATGGAATCGAATGGAATCACCATCGAATGGAATCAAAAGCAATCATCTAAAGGATTTGAATAGAATCATTGAATGGACACGAATTTAATCATCATTGAATGGAATCTGATCAAATCAACACATGGAATCAAATGGATTCATAATCGAAATGAATCAAATGGAATCATCTAATGGACTGGAATGAAACTCTCATCGAATGGAATCAAATGGAATCATCGAATGGACTCGAATGGAATCATCATCGAATAGAATTGAATGGAATCATCCTCGAATGGACTTGAATGGAAGCATTAAATGGACACGAATGGAATCATTGAATGGAATCTTATGCAATCATTATCAGTGGAATCAAATGGAATAATCACCAAATGGAATGGAATAGAATCATCTAATGAAATCAAATGGAATTATCATCAAGTGGAATCGAATGGAATCATCTTCGAATGGAATCATCATTGAATGGAATCAAATGAAATCATCATCAAATGGAATCGAATGGAATCATCAACGAATGGAATTGAATGGAATCATCGAATGGAATGGAATGGAGTCTTCATCCAATGGAACCGAACAGAATCATCATCAAATGAACCCTAATGGTATCATCATCGAATGGAATCGAATGGAATCATCATTGAATAGAATCGAATGGAATCATCGTCTAGTGGACTCGACTTGATTCATCAAATGGACACGAATGGAATCATTGAGTGGACTCTCATTCAATCATCATCAATGGAATTGAATGGAAAAATCATCAAATGGAAAGGAAAGGAATCATCATCGAAGGGTATCAAGTGGAATCATCAAATGGAATCGAATGGAATCATCATTGAATGGTATCGAATGGAATCATAGAATGGTTTTGAATGGAATCATCATCAAATGGAATCGAATGCAATCTTCATTGAATGGAATCGAATGGAATCATCAACGAATGGAAACGAATGGAATCATCGAATGGAATGGAATGGAGCCTTCATCCAATGGAACCGAATGAAATCATCATTAAATGAAACCTAATAGAATCATCATCGATTGGAATCACATGGAATCATCATCGAATGGGATCGATTGGAATCATCATCGAATAGAATCGAATGGAATCATCGTCTAATGGACTCGACTTGATTCATCAAATGGACACAAATGGAATCATTGAGTGGACTCTCATTCAATCATCATCAATGGAATCGAATGGAATCATCGAATGAAATCGAAAGGAATCATCATCAAATGGAATCAAATAGAATGGGATAATTCCATTCAATTGGAATGGACGATCAGATGGAAATGAATGGAATCATCATAGAATGGACTCGAATGGAATCATTGTATGGAGTCGAATGGAATCATCATCGAATGGAATCGAATGGAATCATTGAATGGACTCGAATGAAATCATCATCAAATGGAATCAAACGGAATCATCTAATAGACTCGAAAGGAATCATCATTGAATGAATTCGAATGGAATCACCGAATGGACACGAATGGAATCATCATCATATGGAATCGAATGGAATCACCGAATGGAGTCGAATGGAATATCATCGAATGGAATCAAAAGCAATCATTGAATGGACTCAAATGGAACTATCGAATGGAATCATCGAATGGACTCAAAAGGAATCATCATCAAATGGACTCATATGGAATGATAGAATGGACTCGAATGGAATCATGGATTCCATGGAAATATCAACGAATGAACTCCGATGGAATCATCATCGAATGGACTCGAATGGAATAATAGAATGGAATAGAAACGCATCATCATTTAATGGAATCGAATAGAATTACAGAATGAAATCCAATTGAATCATCATCAAATGGAATCGAATGGAATCATCACCAAATGGAATCCAATGGAAACATCATCAAATCGAACACAATGGAATCATCATCATATGGAACCTAATGGAGTCATCATCATATGGAATTGAATGAAATCATCATCGAATGGAATTGAATGGAATCATAATCAAATGGAATCTAATGGAATGATCATCGAATGGAATCAAAGGGAATCATCAAATGGGATCGAACGGAATCATCGAATGGAATCGAATGGTATCATCGTATGGATTCGAATGGAATCATCATCGACTGCAATTGAACGGAATTGTCATCGAGTGGAATCGAATGGAATCATCATCAAATGTGATCGCATGGAATCATCAACAAATGGAATCGAATGGAATCATCAAATGGAATCGAATGGAAAGATCATCGAATGGAATCGAATGGAATCATCAAATGGAATTGAAAGGGATCATCCAATGGAATCGAATGGAGTCATTGACGGGACTCGAATGGAATCATCATCGAATGGAATCAAATGGAGTCTTCAAATGGACTCGATTGGAATCATCATTGAATGCAATCAAATGGAAATATCATTGAATGAAATCAGATGAAATCATCATCAGATGGAATCGAATGGAATCATCACTGAATGGAAAGGAATGGAATCATCGAACAGAAACAGATGGAATCATCATCGAATGGAATCGAAGAGAAGCATCGAATGAAATATAATGGAATCATCAACGAATGGACTTGAATGGAATCATCATCGAATGGACTCAAATGGAATCATCGTCGAATGCACTCGAATGGAATCATCATCGAATGGACTCGATTGGAATCATCATCAAATTCAATCCAATGGAATCATCATGAAATTGAATCGAATGGCTCATCATCGAATGGAGTCAAATGGAATCATCATTGAATGGAATCAAATGGAATCATTGAATGGACTCGAATGGAATCATCATCGAATGGAATCGAATGCAACCATTGAATGGAATCAAATGGAATCCTCATCAAATGGATTCAAGTGGAATCACCGAATGAAACCGAATGCAGTCATCATTGAATGGAATTGAATGGAATCATCATCGAATAGAATCGAATGGAAACATCGAATGGAATCGAATGGAATCATCATTGAATGTAATCGAATAGAATCATCAAATGGAATCGAATGGAATAATTGAATGGAATTGAAAGGAATAAGCATCAAACGAAATCGAATGGAATCATCATCGAACAGAATCAAATGGAATCATTGAATGGAATCATCATCAAATGGAGTCCAATGGAATCATCGAATGGACTCGAATGGAAATATCGAATGGAACCGAATGCAATCATCATCGAATGGAATCAAATGGAATCATCAACAAATGGAATCGAATGGAATTATTGAATGGAATACAATGGAATCATCATCAAATGGAACCGAATATAATCATCGAGTGGACTCGAATTGAATCATGATCAAATGGAATCGAATGGAATCATGATCTAATGGAATCGAATGGTGTCATCGAATGGACTCAAATGGAATCATCTAATGGACTCGAATGGAATCATCGAATGGAATCAAATGAAATCATCACTGAATGGAATCAAATGGAATCATTGAATGGACTCGAATGGAATCATCATTGAATGGAATCTAATGGAATCATGAAAGAAGGGAATCGAATGGAAACATCATCGAATGGAATCAAATGGTATCATCAGCGAATGGAACAGAATAGAATCATTGAATGGAATCCAATGGATTCACCATCAAATTGAACTGAATGGAATCACCATTGAATGGACTCGAATGGAATCGTCATTGAATGGAATCGAATGGTGTCATCAAATGGAATCAAGCAGAAACATTGAATGGACTCGAATGGAATCATCAAATGGAATTGAATGCAATCATCATCAAATGAAATCAAATGGAATGATTGACTTGAGTCGAATGGAATCATCATTGAATTGAATTGAATGGAATCATCGAATGGACTCAAATGGAATCATCATTGAATGGAATCAAAAGGAATCATGGAATGGACTTGAATGGAATCATTGAATGGACTCGAATGAAATTATCATCGAATGGAATCAAATGGAATAATCGAATGGACACGAATGTAATCATCATTGAATGGAATCGCATGGAATCATCAAATGGAATCTAATGGAATCATCATTGAATGGAATCTAATGGAATTATCATCTGATGGAATCGAAGGGAAACATCAATGAATGGAATCGAATGGAGAAATCGAATGGAATCCGTTGGAATCATCATAGAATGGAACTGAATGCAGTCATCATCAAATGGAATCGAATGCAAACATCATTGAGTGGAATTGAAAGAAATCATCATCAAATGGAATCGAAAGGAATCATCATCAATCGAATGTGGAATTAAATGGACTCCGTTCGAAGACTCTCTTCGATTCCTTTTGGTGATGATTCCATTTGATTCCATTTGATGATGCATCAATTCTATTCCATTGGATGATTCTATTCGATTCCATTCGATGATGATTTCATTCGATTCCATTCGATGATGATTCCATTTGATTGCATTTGATGATGATTCAATTCGGGTCCATTCGAAGTTTCCATTCGATTACATTGCATGATGATTCTATTCCAGTCCATTTGATGATTCCATTCGACTGCATTCGACGATGATTCCATTTGATGCTATTCGATGATTCCATTAGATTATATTCGATGATGATTCCATTCAACTCCATTCGATGATTCCATTCGAGTCCATACCATTATCCCAGTAGATTCCATTCGATGATATTTCCATTTGATGCCATTCGATGATGTTTCCATTCAAGTCCAGTCGATGATGACTACATTGGATTCCATTCTATGATTCCATTTGATTCCATTCGATGGTGATTCCGATCAATTCCATTTGATGTTTCCATTAGATTCCATTTAATGATTCCATTTGATTCAATTCAATAATGATTCCATTCGAATCCATTCGATGATTATATTCGAGCCCATTGGATAATTCCATTTGAGTCCAATCCTTGATTCCATACCATTATCCCATTAGATTCCTTTCGATGATGTTTCCATTCGATGCAATTCGATGATGATTCTATTCAATTCCATCCGAAGATTATTCCATTCAAGTCCATTCAATGATTCCATTCGATACCATTTGATGATGATTCCATTCGAGTCCATTCGATCATTCCATTCTATTGCATTCAATAATGATTCCCTTCGAGTAAATTAGATGATTCCATTCGATTCCATTTGATGATTATTCTATTCGTGCCCATTTGATGATTCCACACGATTCCATTCGATGATGATTCTATTCAAGTCCATTCGATGATTCCGTTCGTTTCCATTCGAGGATGATTCCATTCAATTCCATTCATTGGTGATTGCATTCAATTCCATTCATTGATTCCATTCCATTCCATTCGATGATTCCATTTGATTTCATTTGATGATGATTGCTTCGATTCCATTCGATGATTCCATTCGATTCCATTGGATGATGATTCCATTCGATTTCATTTGATGACTCCATTTGTTTCCATTGGATGATGATTCCGTTCGATTTCATTTGATGATTCCATTTGATTCTATTTGAGGCTTCCATTCGATTCCATTCGACGATGATTCCATTTGAGTCCATTCGTTGATTCCTTTTGATTCTTTTCGATGATGATTCCATGCGAGTGCATTCAGTGGCGATTCCGTTTGATTCCATTCGATGATAATTCCATTTGATTCCATTTGATGATGATTGCATTCGATTCCATTTGATGATTCCATTTGATTCCATTCGATGATGATTTCATTTGATTCCATTCAATAATGATTCCATTCGAGTCCATTCGATGATTCCATTAGAGGCCACTTGATGATTCCATTTGATTCCATTCGATGATGATTCCATTGTATTCCTTTCGTTGATGATTCCAATCAATACCGTTCGATGATGATTCCATTCAATTGCATTCGATGATTATTCCATTCAGTTCCATTCGTTGATTCCATTCAATTCCATTTGAGGATGGTTCCATTTGATTCCATTTGATGTTTCCTTTAGATTCTATTCAATGATTATTCCATTCGACTCCATTCAATGGTGATTCCATTCGATTGCATTGTGTGGTTCCATTTGATTCCATTTGATGATGATTGCATTCCATTCCATTCGATGATTCCATTTGATTTTATTCAAAGATGATTCCATTCGATTCCATTCGATAATTCCATTCAATTCCATTTGATGATTCCAATGGATTTCATTTGATGATGATCCCATTTGAGTTCTTTCGATGATTCCGTT
Organism: Homo sapiens; assembly: GCF_000001405.40. NCBI lineage: Eukaryota > Metazoa > Chordata > Mammalia > Primates > Hominidae > Homo > Homo sapiens. The sequence goes on along the minus strand of NC_000016.10, from coordinate 36,125,199 downwards.
CAATTCCATTCGATGATGATTCCATTCGTGTCCATTCCATGATTCCATTCCATTCCATTTGATGATGATTCTATTCAATTCCATTCCATAATGATTCCATTCGAATCCATTCAATGATGATTCCATTTGATTTCATTTGATGATTCTATTTGATTCCATTCAAAGATGATTCCCTTCCATTCCATTCATTGATTCCATTCGATTTCATTCGATGATGATTCCATTCTAATCCATTTGATGATTCCATTCCATTCCATTCGATGATGATTCCATTCAAGTCCAGACGGTGACTCCATTCGATTTCATTAGGTGATGATACCATTCGAGTCCATTCGATGATTCATTGCGATTTCATTTGATAATAATTACATTCAATTCTATTCGATGATTCCTTTCGATTCCATTTGATGATGATTCCTTTCAAGTCCATTCGATGATTCCATTCAATTCTATTGGATGATGATTCCATTCGAGTCCATTCGATGATTCCATTCAATTACATATGATGATGATTCAATTCGATTCCATTCGATGATTCCATTCAATTCCATTCATTGATGATTGCATTCAAGTCCACTCGATGATTCCATTTGATTTCATTCGATGATGATTACATTCGAGTCCATTTGATCATTCTATTCGAACCCACTTGATGATTGCTTTCGATCATATTCGATGATGATTCCTTTCGAGTCCATTCGATGATTCCATTTAATTCCATTTGGTGATGATTCCATTCGTGTCCATTAAATGATTCCATTCAATTCCATTTGATGATGACTCCATTCGGTTCCATTCGATTATTCCTTTCAGTTCTATTCGATGATGATTCCATTCGATTCCATTCAATGGTGATTCCGTTCAATTCCATTCGATGGTTCCATTCAATTCCATTCGATGACATTTGCATTATATTCCATTCAATGATTCCATTCGATTTTATTCAAAGATGATTCCATTCAATATTTCCATTCGATTCCATTAGATGATTCCAATGAATTCCATTTGATGATGATTCCATTGGCGTCCGTTTGGTGATTCCATTCAATTCCATTCGATGATTATTCCATTTGATGATTATTCCATTCACGTCCATTTGATGATTCCATTCAATTCCATTCGATGATGACTCCGTTGGGTTCCATTTGATGATGATTCATTCGTTTCCATTTGATGATGATTCCTTTTGGTTCCATTCGATGATTCCATTCGATTACATTTGTTGACAATTCCATTCGATTCCACTCAGTGATGATTCCATTCAATTCCATTCGATGATGATTCCATTTGATTCCATTTGTTGATGATTCCATTTGATTTCATTTGATTATTCTATTTGATTCCATTCGATAATGATTCCCTTCTATTCCATTCGATGACTCAATTTGATTCTATTTGAACATGATTCTGTTCTATTCCATTTGATGATGATTCTATTCGATTCCATTCAATGATGATTCCATTCGAGTCCATTTGATGATTCCATTCGATTCCATTCGATGATGATTCCATTCGAGTCCATTTGATGATTCCGTTTGATTTCATTCAATGATAACTCTATTCAATTCCATTCGATGATTCCATTCTATTCCATTCGATGGTGATTCCATTTCAGTTGAATCGATGATTCCATTCAAGTTCATTTAATGATTCTATTGTGTTCAATTCGATGATGATTACATTTTATTCCATTCAATGATTCCATTTGTTTCCATTCGTTGATGATTCCATTCAATTCCTTTCAGTGATGATTCCTTTCGATTTCATTCATTGATGATTCTATTCGGTTCCTTGATTATGATTCCGTTTGATTCCATTTGATTATGATTTCATTCAATTCCATTCAATGATTATTCCATTCCATTTCATTCGATGATTCTATTCAATTCCATTTGATGGTGATTCCTTTTGATTCCATTTGATGATGATTCCATTTGATTGCAATCAATGATGATTCCATTTGCGTCCATTCGAAGATTCCATTCGATTCCATTCGATGATGGTTCCATTGGTGTCCATTCGATGATTCCATTGCATTCCATTCGATGATGATTCTATTCAATTCCATGCGATGATGATTCCAATCGTTTCCATTCAATGATGATTCCGTTTGGTTGCATTCGATGATTCTATTTGAATCCATTCAAAGATGAATCCATTCTATTCCATTCAATGATTCCATTCGATTCCATTCGATGATGATTCTATTAGATTACATTTGATGATGAATCTATTCGAATCCATTCGATGATGATTCCATTCATGTCCATTCGATGTTTCCATTTGATTCTATTCAATGACAATTCCATCCAAGTCCATTAGATCATTGCATTCGATTCCATTCAATGATGATTCCATTTGATGCCATTCGATGATTCCATTCATTTTCATTCAATTATGATTCCATTCTAATCCATTTGATGATTCTATTCCATTCCATTCGATGATGATGCCATTCGAGTCCATTCGATCATTCCATTCGATTCCATTCGATGATGATTCCATTTGGGTCCATTAGATGATTCCATTTGATTCCATTCGATGATGATTCCATTCGAGTGCATTTGATGATTCCATTCGATTCCATTCTCCGATTATTACATTCTAGTCCATTCGATGATTGCACTCGATTCCATATGATGAAGATTCCATTCGATTCCAATTGATGATTCCATTCTATTCCATTCAATGATGATTCAATTCGGGTACATTAGATGATTCCAATCGATTCCATTCGATGATGATTCTATTCGTGTCCATTACATGATTCCATTCGATTCCATTCGATGATGCTTCCATTCTATTCAATTCGATGATGGTTCCATTCGGGTCCATTAGATGATTCCATTTGATTCCATTCGATGATGATTCCATTCTATTCCATTCAAAGAAGGTTCCATTCGTGTCCATTAGATGATTCCATTCGATTCCGTTCGATGACGATTCCGTTCTATTACATTCAATGATGATTCCATTCGGGTCCATTAGATGATTCCATTCGATTCCATTCGATCATGATTCCATTCGTGTCCATTTGATGATTCCATTCTACTCCATTTGATGATGATTCCATTCATGTCCATTCGATGATTCTATTAGAGTCCATTGAATGATTGCTTTTGATTCCATTCGATGATGATTCAATTCCATTCCATTCAATGATGATTCCATTCGATACCATTCTATGATTCTATTCGAATCCATTCAATTATGATTCCATTCGATTCCATTTGATGATTCCATTTGATTACATTTGATGATGATTCCATTTGATTCCATTTGATGATTCCATTCTATTCCATTCGAAGATGATTCCATTCTATTCCATTCGAAGATGATTCCATTCACTTCCATTCAATGATGATTCCATTTGATTCCATTCAATGATGATTCCTTTCGAGTCCATTCGATGATGATTCCATTCAAGTCCATTGCATGATGATGCCTTTCAATTTCATTCGATGATGATTCCGTTTGATTCCATTCGATGATAATTCCATTCTTTTCCATTCAATGATGATTCCATTCCATTCCATTCCACTCCACTACATTCAGTTACATCCGATTCCATTCCACTCCATTCCACTCCTCTGCTCTCCACTCCACTCCACTCCATTGCATTCCATTCCATTCTATTTCACTGGTTTCCATTCCATTCCCTTCTTTCAAGAGTGTCTCACTCTGTCACCCATCCTGTAGCACAATGGCACAATCTCATCTCCCATTCCATTCCATTCCTCTCCATTCAATTCCATTCGATTCCATTCCATTCCATTCTATTCCATTCCATTCGAAAAAGAAAAAGAGTTGCAAAGTCATACTCCCTTTTCTGCTCTTGTCAGACAATTAACGGTTCTTTGAATACTTCAGCCCTAATAATTTTCTTTATCATACATATTGCAGTGCTTATCTAATTTTATATATATTTTTGTTTCAAAACCCAGTTTCTTATTTGTTCTATCTCTATGTTTGCAATATATTTTACTGTCTGTTCATTCTTTGATTTCAGAACCTCAACCTTTCTGAAGCATATTTTCAGAGTTTCTCTGTAGTTTCTTTAGTGGAATTCTGCTGGTGGCGTTTTGTTTTTTATCTCTAAATATGTTATTTAGCCATAGGTTGATGAATATTTTTCTTTGTTTAGAAATTCAGAATGGCATTATTATTCTTAACAAATAATATTGTTTATTTTACCTTTCATTTTTTTCAGATTTCAATATGATTAAAAGTAATTTCATTTTTCTAGTGCTAATTGAAATATTTTTCCCTTCCTCGTTGTTTACTATTTCTCTAGGAGATACATAGGTTTAGGATTATCTCCATTGTAGCTTGCTTAGCAAGAATGGAATTTTTGAATATGCAGATTAGTGTCTTACAAAAGTCTAGGGAAATTTCACCCAAAGTACCATCACATATTGTCCCTTCCCAGTTCCCTTCTTCTATGAGAACACTCTCTAAACACATGCTACACTTTCTCACTGTATCTTCCATGTCTCTTCATCATTCTGTCCACATTTTACATTTTTAAAAATTTTCTGTAATGCATTCTGAAATATTTATGAACTCTCACCTTGGCCATGTCTAATCTGATGAGTACATTTTTGAGTTTTTAATTTAAAATAACTATATTTTCATACAAACTACTTTTCAAATTTGCTACATCAATTTTTTAGTTTCCTAACAATATATTCATTTTTTTAAAAAATTTTGAAAGCAAATGTGCTTTATAATCTAACAGTGATATTTCTACTAATGAACCTTTGTGGAGCTGTTTGTACTCTTTTTCTGCTTTCCTTTCAAATGGTGGAATATCATTTCCTTGCATAGTTAGATGCCTTTGAATGACAAATATTTATTTTTCTCTGAAAATTATTTTTGTGTGCTTTTGCAGATTAGTAAATAGAAAATTTGCCAAAGAGAATTTGAATTTTTTTGTGATTCTACTAAAGGCACCACCATTCTGGGACCACATTATGTTAATTCTTGGCCTAAAGGTGTTCGGACGTATGTTTGGACTGCACATTTAAACAATTTTTAAATTAGATGCTGTAAATCATTAATGATTGAGTTTCTTTAAATCTGTCTAATCTCAAGTCATTTTTATTTGCCATTTCCAGGGAATGTGAAATGGGACTAATTTACCTCTGATTCTTCTTTATACTGAGGATAGAAATTTTGGTCCTAGCTTTAGGGAGGAGCTCCTGTGTGATGCCCTATCTTGGGAAACACTGTGTATTTCTTTACTGTCCTATGTGATGTATGACAGTAGGAATCTGCACTCGTTCATTTTGCTACATGTCCGTAGGGCAAAATCAGTTTTGGTGTTTAGTTATATTTTGTCTGCTCCCTGCATTCCCATGGTTTTGACCTTATATTTTACTTTTATTTGTGAACATACCAGTGTTTCAAATTTTTTCCAGTAATATATTCAACTATATTATGAGAAAGAGAAAAAATTTGATAAAACACAAATTTCATGTTTTCCTTCTCTAATTGGATTTTACTTAAAAATACAGGTAAAATTTATTTGTGCTTTTTTGCTATTTCTGTTTTGCTATTCTCTGTTAGTCTATGTCTTCTCCACATAGGCACAATTAGGGAATTTTGTACACTCTTTTGCCAACTGCTTTGATAGTAAACAAATGTATTTCTCGAACTCCTAGGTATAAAACTCAAGTATCCACAATTTAAATTCTTTTTTGCTCACTTCTATTATGTTTCCAGTCTCAATAGAAATCGATGCCAATCCAGAAATACAAGCATTATTCTAATACTTCTCACACACTACAGGTATAGATTAAATTTTCTAGATCTCCTTAAATACTATCATTTTTCACTACTTGTATCTTAACTGTTAAATTCAGCATTTTCTATAATATTAATAAGTTGTGAAAATTTTCTTACTTTCTTATTTGTCCCAAGTTCAAGGTTTTGCAGTCTCTACCTCACCCTGTGAGGCATAAACATTGTACTATGCTGTACTAATATTACATAGTTCAAGTGCTTAGAGATTGCACAATTTTTATTTGGTTGACAATAGCTAATGTTTTCTTCTTCATTTTCTATTTCCTGATTCCGCTTTATTTAGTATATGCTACATTATCATAAAAATAAGAACGTTTTACAAACTAAAACAAAAGAAACCCCAGGAAAAAAATGCACAAGTAAAATATATAAACATACATTTAGATGTACCATGTACACTTCTAATTTATTTAGACTTTTAATTGTAGTACAATTTTAATTAAAGTCTGTGTATTATCTGTCATCGTCTTAGTATTTTTTATATAACAAATTGTGTAAATCAAAAAGCCTCAATGTCATTATAAACTATCTTGGCAGAAGTTGATGTCCAAGGAATAATTTCTCTCCCAAATTATGTCAATCAGAATTTCACTCTACCATAATTCTTTTAATCAGTTTCAGAGGAATCATAAATTTCAAAATTGTTCAAGGTAGTTGTTGTAGTTCAAGTACATTTAGACAGGTGTAAAACTGTAGACAGACTGATACAAACATATTCTAATTGACACAAAAGTACATGGGACCTATTTTAAAATCTAGACTTTAAAATGTCGTGTCAACGTACGCATGTTCTCCTTGTGAAATAATTGCTTTTTATTCTCTGGATAGAATAATTTAATCTTTAAACCTTCAATTCACTGTTAAAAACAAAATATTACATAAGGATATGCTTATAAAAATAATTCGCAACTAGATTTTCAATTCAGAAATATATGTGAAAAATCATCAAGCATCTAATGGATTTCAAGGAGAAATGGGTTAGTAATTTATTCCACATGTCTCAATTTTTCCTAGATTTAAGGCTTCCTTTAAAACAATTGTAGGCATTTAAGAAACCATGTAAACTAAAAAGAAGAAATTGTGACACTGCCACTTAGGTTTTTTAAATCTTTGGACATGAATCAATATACTTTTTAATTTTATCTTAATTAGACATTGTGAGTTCACTATCTTCCTGTCAGTATAGCATCCAAGCTGATTATCATAGGTTACAAGTTCAACTATCAACTGTGTTCTGAGACTCTAAAAAAATAAATGAATGTATTTGTTTGGGTACTCTTAAAGCAGGAGTGAGGACACAGTGAAAGTGAGACAAGGAAAAGAGAACAAAATAAAACAGGAAAGATAGAAAAGCCAGTACCACACGTGTTAAGAGGCATGTTCCTGTGTTAGATATCTGGGCTTAATTCTATGGGAAGCTATGTGGAACATGCCTCAGAATTACATCAATGAATCCAGGGAGATTCTTCTTAGTTACCCTCACCTTTTCTTCCCACTTCATGCCCAGTATCAAACTCCCGTGCTGCTAGAGAAAGTCCTCAGCTAGAAACTGGTGCAAATTCTGGAGATGAGACCCTGTAGAGTGTTAAGAATGGCTTTCTTCCCAGCAGCTACAGGTAAGGAATAGGGGCTGGGCTATTAATACATCTGCTACAAATCAATATACCCCTTATGCTCCTTTTGGTGATCGACAATGTATTTAAAATATTAGATGATCAAGAAGGGCTGCAGAAAGGAGGAAAAAGAAACAAAGAGCACACCTCTTGGTTTATTTTTATTCATTTCATCAGTTTCAAGGAAAATGTGTTGGGAGTTCCTGGCATAGAGAATGTCACAAAGATATGTTTTCAATAGTGGTGCTATCCCTAGGGCAGAGAAGATTCAGAGAAAGCCCAAGTGGCTGCTGGAACAAAGTCAGACACCGTGCCACCTGTCCACACTCCTTGGCTCTGCCATCATGCTGAAGATTGGTTTAAAGGGCTGGCTTCCCTCTCCGCAAAATTAAAAGAGCACAAACTGAGAAACTGGATGTGGGAGACAGCAGTGGATTATGCTGTTCTCAGGGGTCACCTCAGGTTTGGAAGCATTCTTTCAAATTAACCCATCTCCAGCCATCTGCAGAGAAGAAAGGTGGTACCTAACTTTTTTTCTTGTCAGCACTTGGTAGGGGTGTTTTATTGACCAAATATGTTCCCACAACCTAGTTTTTTGTAACTAAATAAATATAGCAGATTTTTAAATTTAATCATCAAAATCTATAGACAATTTTTTATTAAAATAGGCTCCACATCTATGTCCTGCTTTTCTTCTTATTAATTACTTTGCTGTATAAAATAACAAGACTTCAGAATCAAGAATATCTTGTCTCTTGGCATTGAATTTCTACAAGGTGCTCTTTCTTTAATGCTGTCTCAAAGGACATATTTTTACTCATTAAAAAGGAAGATCGGAATCTAGTTCTATGCACTGCTCCAACATATTAATAATTAAAATTAGGAGGTAAATGTGGTCGAAGCTATAGAAATACTTGGGATGTCATTTATATTGATTACTGCATAGCACTCTACAAACAGAAATTGTGAAATAATAGTTTATATAAATATTTTGTAGCGTTTCAAATATTGGAGTGCCTGAAGTTTCTCCTCTTATATAGTTCAGATTATCAATTTGAAGACTTACTCTGCTGGTTAAAAAGTTTTTAGTTTCGTTTGAGTATTATATAAAAACAATTTTCAGTTAAATGTGTTCCGCTTACATAAAACATTAGAAATCAGTGAGTATTTAATTACATTTTCGTGTTCCTGTAATGCCTTTAGAAGATTTTCATATTATTACCTATCAATATATGTATGCTTTCTCTAAGAAAAATCCATCATATACATCATTGAAATTGAAACTTTTTAAAAGTACTTATTAATTCTATTGAAAAACCACATCCATAGGAGCAATTACAACATAATATTGTGAACATGTAAGTATATATCCTATGTCTATTTTATATATAAGCATATGTGATTAGAAATATAGTTAAGAATTTTTAAACCTAGTATTATAAAGTAAAAATTAATTAAACTTCTGATGATTATTTGTTAATTAAGATAAATTTATTTTGATTTGGGTGATTTTAAATGAACAAAAATATTAAATTACATGACAAAAATTCTTTATAAAATGTTTACGATTTTTACATTGGTTTTATCACTTTATTCCACTATTTTATTTTAAGGTGACCTGCCTTGTTTAAAACACTGTGTTCATCTTAATTAGATTAAATTCCATTTGTTAAAAAGTTAACCAATGATTTGCTCTATTATACAGAGCGGTTATAAACTGAGTCAGTATCTCAAGATTTGAACCCCATTATCTTCATCCGTGGCCCTATTTGTTTGATAAATGTAGTGTCTTTTTTCATGCCTGTCACATCTCTATTGTTCATTTATTTTTCTCCTTGTCCCTTATAGGAAGCATTGCCTATCTCTAGATTAAGCAAAAGTTGCATCTTAATAAAGCACAATAACCTGCTCAATCTTTCTCACACAGAGAAATGTTTGTTAAGTAATTAAAGTGTAGATTATGACACAAAGAGCTTGATTAAATGAGATGCCAAAGTACCCTTGTGATTCAGAATATGAATGGTATTTAATGCCTTTGAAACCAATAATTGCTGAGTGACATTAATTAATGCCAATATTTCAGAAGTTGTTCTGGTTAGTGAAATGTGTACAACATGTAAAAATTTCCGAACTCTGAATGGCAACATTATTCTATAATTAAGAATTAAGAATTAATTCACATTAATTATTGGGGAGAAATAATTTTAAGAATTAATGACTGAGAAAACGTTTTTATTTTTATTTAGAAAATTATTTAGTGCATGAGCATTACTGCAAGTTTTGCAAGAAACATAAATTTATAGGAACAATTATGTGCACAAGATGAATTTAATAACATCTTGATATTTTCCACTATTACAGCTGTATTCGGTAAATCTTTAAATGCCCATCATCTAAAGATCATAAATGAATCTTGGAAATCTTGTAGGTAAGGGTAAATATAAGGATGTATCCAATTACATTTACACATACATACAATTACATTTACACAAACATACATGCACACACGCTCACTGATACAGGTATGCATATATATACATGAATTTACCAATTGATTTTAACTAATATATATAAGGGCCTGTAGGATTGATATATATTGTTGAACCTGAAAAATATTTATTATATACATGTTTAAAATACACAAAGAAATAAATAGTAATTGCACTAGGCATTTGAAACTGTACTTAAATATAAGCTGTGATCATTACAAATTCTTACACTGAATAAATATTTTTATTTTTATAATAATATGTTTGATACATGTGTCCATTTTTTAAAATGTATTATTTTTGTCATAGAGTCATGTCATGCATAATAATATTTCAGTCAAAGATGGATAACATATACAAAAGTGGTCCCATGAGATTATAATACATATTTTTACATACTTTTCTATGTTTAAGTATGTTTACATACATAAACTCTTACCACTGTGTTCTTATTGCCTGCAGTATTCAGTATAGTAGTGTAGTACACAGTTTTGTAGCCTAGGAGAGAGAGGCTATACCATATAACCTAAACGTGGTAGGCTGTACAAACTAGGTGTTTGTGATATTCTCTCGGACGTTTGCAAAATGATGAAATTGCCTATGGATGCATCTGTTAGAACGTATCCCTGTCATTCAGTGATGCGTGACTGTGCTAAAATGCTAAATCTAAGTTTCAATGACCTCCATAAAATTGTTGTACTGTGAAATAAAAATCTCTCACCTACGGCCTGAATATGTTTGCAAACTAAGCAGATCATGGGAAGGAGAATGTGCTGGCTTCGCTGGGATGATTTTCTCACTCTACATGAATAATATCTCCAGACTTTGCGAATATGAGCCACTTGCATAGAGTTAAAGTAAGCATCTCTTTGCTGGGAAATTTATCAAATGGGAGTATGAAATGTTTTTAAAAGATACTTGTTTGTTTGTAGACGGTAGGCCTACAGTGGCTCATGGCAATGGTTGAGGTTGCTAAGATTTGGTGGAAGAAGGCAAAATGAAATGGCCACTTATATGGTATATGGATCACTTGTTTCTGTTGAGTTACAGATTCAGCTGGCTATTTCTCCCAATGTTAGTTATTTGGAGAAAAGAAACATGATTGTAATTTTGGGGTAACAAATACAATATTTGATGAAAGCAAATTTATTGAGGGTTAGACAAACTACAAGATAATTTAGGCTGCAAAGTCAACACGAGACTTCTGGCCCAAATTGTGCAGAGTTTGGGTCCAGCTACAAAGTTCAAAGGAAGAGGCCATATAAGATGATTCGCACTTTTGTCACCAACTGCCAGTTCAGGGGTTTCCCGAGAACACCCTCAGTTTCAAGAATTTACTAAAAAGACTCACAGAACTCATTGAATGCCATTGTACTCATGGTTTATAATAAAGAAAGGGTAGAAATTAGGACCAATCAAAGGAAGAGACATAACACATAAGGTGGAATCTAGGAGATTTTGAATGATAAGTTTCCATTGTCTTCAGGACATATTAACTGTCATTGTTGTACAGCAATAAACATGGAGTACTACCAACCTGGGGAGCTCACCTGATGCTAAAAAGACACTATTTCGAAAATGAAAAGACAAAGGAAAGGAGGAGATAAGATGGCCTTCCACATTAAGGCACTGGAAAGAATAGGAAACTAAACCTAAAGCAAGCAGAAGGAAGAAAATAAAAATTAGAGAAATCAATAATTTATAATATTAATCATATTTGTTAGTATTGACTAATTGATATTAATTCTTGACTGACTTTTTTTAAAAAGAGAAATATTCACTTCCCAATTTATTCTATGGGGCCAGTGTTACCTTGATACAAAAATTAGTCCAAATAGCATAGAAAAATAAAACTACTATAAGTATAAATGCAAAATTCCTTAAAAAATACTAACAAATCAGATCTAGCAACATATAAAAGAATTATACACTACAACAAAGTGAAATGTATACTAGTAATCTCAGGTTGGTTTAACAGCCCAAAATCCATTAAGGTAATACATCTTATCCATAGAATAAGAAACGAGAATTGCATGATCATGTCGATAGATTTGGAAAAGACGTTTAACAAAATCCAAATGCTTTAATGATTAAAAATAAAAATAGAAACTCAATGAACCAGGAATAGAGAACTTTCTACACCAGATACATGGCACCTGCGAAAAGCCAACAGCAAGCATGCAACTTAATGGTAAAGGATGCTTTCCTGCTATGGTCAGAGATAAGAATAGGATATATACTTTGACCTCTTCTAGTCAACACTGTACTAAAGATTTTATGCAGGGCAAATCAGCAACTAAAAAAAAAGAGTCACCCATATTGAACAGGAAGAAATAAAACTTTATTTGAAAATAACATTCTTCTATATAGAAAATTTTAAGGAATCCATTGAACGATAGAACTAGTAAATTATTTCAGCAATATTACAGCATACAAGATAAATGTACAAAAATCAATTGCACACATCTTCAATGAAAACCCCAAAATGAAATTAAGAAAACACTTCAATTTAAAATAGCATCAAAAAAAGAAATAATAATTAATTTGGAAAATGTGATACAAGATTTTACTCTGAAAATTAAAAATTATTGTTTAAAGAATATCTGAATAATTAGCAAACATCTTCCACTTGTGAACTGGAAGATTTAATATTGTAGTACTTTACAAGGTGAACTACAGATTTGACGTAATCCCTGCAAGTATCCCAACAGACTTCTGTCTAGAAACTGACAAGCAGATTCTAAAATACACATGTTATTGTAAGGGACTCAAAATAGCCAAAATAGTCTTGATAAAAGAAAACATATTAGTATAATTCACACCCCCGTGCTCCAAACCTTACGGCAAAGCATCAGTAATCAAGACAACACAATACTGATGAAGGTAAAATATATAGATTGATGGAAGAGAATTGAGAGTCCATATATAAAACTATGTATCTATAGTCAATGGATTGTTAAAGTGGTGCCATGTGCAATTCAATGAGGAAGAGACAGTCTTTGAACACACTGGATCAACAACGTACACGTGGGTCGCCACTTGCAAAATAGTAAATTGGAACCCTTACCCCAAAGCATACAAAAATATTAACTCAAATGAATTAAAGACGGCCGGGCGCGGTGGCTCACGCTTGTAATCCCAGCACTTTGGGAGGCCGAGGCGGGTGGATCACGAAGTCAGGAGATCGAGACCACGGTGAAACCCCGTCTCTATTAAAAATAAAAAAAAATTAGCCGGGCGTGGTGGCGGGCGCCTGTAGTCCCAGCTACTCGGAGAGGCTGAGGCAGGAGAATGGCGTGAACCCGGGAGGCGGAGCTTGCAGTGAGCCGAGACTGCGCCACTGCACTCCAGCCTGGGTGACAGAGCGAGACTCCGTCTCAAAAAAAAAAAAAAAAAAATGAATTAAAGACATACATGCAAGAGCTAGGATAAACCATATGCGAAAATCTTCAGGATTTTGGATCTAGCAAAGAAATAGCTGTAACACCAAAAACATGAGCAACAAAATAAAAATTAGATATTTAAAATTTCTTAAAAATTAAAGACATTGGTGTTTCAAAGGACAGCCAAGCAAGTCAAAAAGCAGCTCAAAAATTATGATAAAATATTTGAGAAACAAATATCTATATGTCTGCATATATATGTATCTTGAATATAGAAAAATTGTTTTAACTCAGTAACAAAAATCCCAACTCAAAACTGATAAATGATAGGAATAGATGTGTATCCCAAGAAGATACACGAATGGTCAATAATCCCATAAAAAGATACTCAACAGCATCACTCATCAGGCAACTACAAATCAAAACCACAGTTAGATACACTATAGCTAGAACTGGCCACTTTGGAAAATAGGTTGATGGCTTCTAAATATATTAAACAGAATTGTCATATGACCCAGAAATGTATTCCCAGGTATACCCCCAGAGTATTGGAAAGAGGTGTTCAAACACAAATTGTACACAAGTATTTTAACAGCGGTATTTAAAAATACGCATATGAACCTTGATAGCATTATGCCAACTGAAAGAAGCCAGGCACAAAAGGCCACCTATTGTATGATTCTATTTAGATGAAAATAGAATAGGAAGATCTACAGAGACAGAAAACAGATTTGTGGTTGCTTAGGATTGAGTAGGGGATGAGCGCATAGGAGGTTAACAGCTAGAGAAGGTGAGGCTTCTTTTTGAAGTGATGAAAATGCTCTAAAATTCATTGTGATGATGGCTCCACTTATCTGTGTATATACTAAAAGCCATTGACTTGTAGACATTAATATGTGCACTCTACAGTATGTAAATTATATCTCAATAAATCCTTTCAAAAATACACAGAAGAGTAAGGGGTTTTGGACTGTTGCAGCTGGGAGGCAGTTTGAAATACTGAATAGGTCTCATCGAGAATGTGAGGTTTCAGTAAAGACTTGAGGAAGTTGAATGAGCTGATCAATGGATATATGGAAGATTATCTTTCAAAGCCAAGAAATTAACTAGAGTCTTGGTCATAAGACAGCAGCATGTTGGCATGTCCAGAGGACAGTGAGGTGGCCAGGACCACTGGTAAGATCAAGGGTGAAGACATAAAAGAATTTTGGCGGTTAACATGCGGCAGATCACGATGGGCTTGCAGACTATTGTAAGAATTGTGTCTTTTAGTGTAAATGAAATGGAGAGACAAATCATTATCCCATTATCAATATTTTAATAAATTGGATCCATGAACCAATTCAATGAGATTAAATCAATTAGTAATAATATGCAAATTTGTTTTAAAATTACAAGAATTCCTTGCACATTTGAGAACAGGAGAGTCATGATTGTTTATCAGCAATAATAAACTATTAATTTTAATTGTCATCAGCTAATTGAGATTAATTGCAATACATCATGCTTTATAATGTGACTGTCAAAAGGAAAATATGATTGTAATCTTATACTACATCTATCAATGTCTTTGATTCATAGGACTATAGAATAAGCCCCTAGTTTTCAAAGCAAACTGATGAGGCTGCGACATCTTATGCAAGTTTGCTGCTTTCTGCCACAGTGGTCCTTGGTCAGCTGGCACAAATTGTTTTACAAACACCACTAGGTCTAAAAAACGTTTGGATCACAATGAACGCAGAAACACCTTCATCCCTTCAGAAATACCTATCAATTAGTTCCAATCCAGAATGAAAAATTGACAACGGAAGTATGTTGATTGTAAAAATGACAGATAGCTTGCATCTACATGAAAGAAAAATGCCATTTTTATTACAATAGATCATTGTTTTACATGACTTTTGGCATAGCACAATGTTGAACCAAGGGCAAAGAGAGATGAATTAATGAAGTCTTAAGATATCAAGAATTTGAAAGAAAAGGCAGGTCATCTTTGAAGGTTAGTGACATAGCATTCATCTTCTGTTGTCACCTTTTCCGTCATTCCCTGTATGCCTGATGGACAGCTTTCACTCAAATTCAGAGAACAGCATGCAAAGATTAGCTACCAACTAATTTTTATGAAGTGAGCTTAATTTCTAGCCAGACTGAGCTTGTTTTAGCAGGAAGCATTTTTGGGAAATGTATATGTTAGAGTTTGCCCTTCTTGACAAGGTGAGACATAAATGTCTACTTTAGAGACATGAATTAAAATGGGAAGATATTTGGGGGAAACGTTTTCTCAAATGCAAAATAACAAAGGTACACAAAGGGGAAATTATACTAGATTTATTTCCCACTTGTTTTCTATGTCTCATCCAATTCATCTTGATTCCCTTCAGTTTCTGTTTAATGTAGAAGGTGGCATTTTCATTATTTTAAGCTTCTAGCACAATGAAAGGATTTCTCTTTTTCATGAACTGCATCATAAATGAAAGGGAGGAAGAGTGTCCTATATCATATTTATTGTTCAACAAAACACTGCTCCACTGCTTAAATTCAGTTTATAAAAGAGAATTTATTGAACATCTAACACATACATAAAAGGCAGTAAAGACAAATGAGAAGAGGGCAGGATATTGAAGTATACAGACTTTAATGCTGAGTTTTGTATCTTAGTAAGTTACTGCACCTTACAGAGACTCAATTTCCCCTGATTTAGGAAGGCGATGCTAATGGGTATTGCATAGGTGTAAGTATAAAAATGTTGTATTTAAGAGAATCCCACAAGCTTGGTATAAGACAGAAAATAAATAGATGTGACATTAATGAGTAGTTTATTACATTTGTATGCTGCCTGCAGACTAGAGGAAGCAAGAAACACAGCCACTATGCTTGATTAGCATTATATTCTAATTTGGAATATAAATAGAAAAGAGAAAAATAGAAAGCTATGCATAAACACATGCATTAAAATGAATTTTATGTGGACTATTTCAGGAAAATGTTCCTAAGGTGTTTTATTTTTTATTGTGGTAAAATACACATAACATAAAATGTACTCTGTTAACCATTTTAAGTGTACAGTTCAGTGGTACTAAATAGAGTCATAACATTGTGCAGCCATCCCTACCATCCATCTCCATAACTCGTTTCATCTTGTGAAACTGAAACTCTATACCCATTAAACAGTACTTCCCCATGTCTTCCTCCCCCCAGCTTCTGGCAATCATCATTGTACTACCTCTATGATTCTGTCCACTTTAAGTCTCTTATACAAATGGAATTATACTGTATTTGTCTTTCACTGACTAACTTATTTCACTTGGCATAATATCCTCAAGTTTCATCCAAGTTGCAACATATGTCAGAATATTTCCCTCATGTTTAAGGCTGAATAATTTTCCATTGTATGTATATATCATGTTTTGCTTATCCATTCATCTGTAGTAGGACACTTCCATTGCTTCTACGTTTTAGCTATTGCCAATAATGCTGCTGCAAACATGAATGTACAAATATTTTTTCAAGACTCTGCTTTCAATTCTTTTGCTATCTTGAGATGTGGGGCTGCCGAATCATAAGGCAATACCATTTTGATGTTTTGAGGAACTACCGTACTCTTTTCCACAGCAAACATAGGGTTTGGCATTCCCTCCAATATTGCAAAAGGAATCGCCACATCCTTGCCTGTGGATTTTATTCACAAGTCCTGTGGCTCTCTCTACATCCCGGCCACCATGTGTTATTTCCTGTTTATATATATGACATCAAAGGTGCAGAAAGTAATGAACTAAATTGGAAGGATAAACATGTAGAAAAATAGAGGTAAATACTGACTACATAAAACCATAAGAATAAGAATTTTGGATGATCTATTATATATCTATTTATCTAACATCTATCTGTTCCCCCATCTGTAATTAAAATATATTACAGTTAGAGAACAGAGAAAAAAGTAGGAATACATGAATTTAAATTTTAATTCTTCTTAGATTGTCTCACAGCATCATTATATGACAGAAAATTTATAGGTCAGTATCTGTTAACTATAAACGTAACATTTTTAAAGTATTCAAATACATTGAATTACAGCATGAATAACATATTACAATCCATTCAAGTTTATTTTATTCCAGGAAAACAAAAATACAAATTTCATTTGCAATTCAAGAAAAACAGAAATCGATACATATGATTGATGTATATACACATTTAATGTATTTTTAAATATACATTTTTTAAAAATAAAATTTTTCTAGGACAACTACTTAAAATATCACTGAAAATAGTGTTATTAGATAATACCTTCCTAATGACTCTGGTATTACATAAGAAAACAAAATTAAAATTTCAGATAAGCTTAGAAAGTAAAAATTTTAAAAATATTATTCTGTTCTCCATATGTTCATATTTAATATTATTTCTTGTTTTCATTCTTCTTCAGTGTTGCTCTACTAAAATATAACATACAATGGTTACTTTTGATTTCTGTTCTTATTACTCAAAATTGTATATATTTTCTCATGCTCTTAATTTAGCTATGCTACTTTTCTTTACTCCTGGAATTTTCACATTTGTGTTCACTCTCTTTTGAGTTCCCATAGTATCAAATAAGCTTTTTGCCCTCTTTCTGATTTGAAGGTTCATCTTCTCATAATTATTTTGTCCACTCAGTTTCTTTTCATTCTCAGTTAAGTGCCTCTCATCTGGCTTCTTTTCATTTGTAAGGTTTCCTTTCATCTTAAGCCAATCTTTTATGTATATTTTGATTCTGTTTTTTGGAGGACATGCTTCCCTGAATTTTAAGGAAGAGGCCAAAAGGTTTGTTCAAGTTTTTACCTGATACATTGGATTAAATTATCTAATGTACACACCCTTAATTTAAGTCTAGGGGCGACTGTCTACTCTCGATTTTGTATAGTATTATTTTTCTTAACATCCAAGTCCATCTTCATCTATTTGTATATGATCAATAAAAATATATTTGTCCAGAACCCTGCTTTGGTGGAGTTACTTCTTTCTAAGTAGGAGAGGTAGGAGTTGAGACATGAGCTGGGTTCTGGGTCAGTTTAGAGGGCTGGGCGACATTCCTCCTTTTGGTCTGTATGACTGAATGAATGCGGTTCTTGCTGTCTCGCTCCTCTCCTTAACACATTGAGCCATTGCCGCAGATGAGAAGGAATAATCCTGATCTGCCATTCAGGTGGAACTCTTGTTCTCTCCAACCACATCTATAGGTTGTACTCACACTCGGCCAGAATGTATCCTGTCAATGATATGGAGATGTATCTAGCTATCTAGATAGATATCTACTTTGGTTTATGCTCTCTGGTTGCCCGTAAATTATCTCCTTAAAGTGAATATCAAAAGAGAGCTTGGTGATGGCAGTGTTATAAAATCCTCAAAATGCAGCACCCACACCCAGAGGAATTTGTAGATTCTGGGATTCTAATTCAGATATCAAACATATAAAAGGGGCATTGGTCATTGAGGGTTGCTAGGCTCTTTGTGGAGCATATTTGCTCTTTTCATGACTTTGAAATTATTTTAAAAATCTAACCTTTTTCTCAGTGTGCTGCAAGATGATTTGATTTTAATGCACAAGCACTAATTCTCCCCTAAGATTTCTACAACATATTTGCTCTGACAAGCCATAGCCAGCAACTCACTTCACAGCAATTTATAGCATTTCCATGATAAGTTGAATTATTTTTAACTAGACTCTCTTTGCCTTAATAAAAATATGAAGAAACAATATACTTGTTGTAGTTAGGTTCAAAAGTTGGCAGTCTCTCTCCTGGAAAGAATAATAAAACTTTTCAGCGGCCTAATATGCATCTATAGACACACACACATGCAAGCACTATTCATAATATTTAAAGCACATTCTGTTCTATGACTTCATTTGTCTAGCACAAAATAAAGCGATCTCAGTATATGTCAAGTACCAATTGTTTCGTATGGCCAATTATAGGTATTTTATTTTTTAAAGATTAGAGTGTTCTTGAAGCTCTTTCTATTTCTTTGTCAATGAACTAAACATTAGCAAATATGTAGGGTTTCCCACATAAGAACATTATTAACATCAAAATAGAAAGCTGGTGGTAGAAATAATGATTGGGAACACAGAGTCTCTACTCAGCGTTCTACTTCTGCCATACCATAACTTTGTGATCTCACGAAATATCTCTCCATGTTCTCATCCCTATGTATAGTTCTGTCATTTTTCAATAAGAGCTTTTCATTTAATTATGAAGTACTAGTTACTATAACCATTATTTTGAGCTTCATGTAAATCAAGAACACATGGACTCCACTTGCAAAACATTGAAAATGTAGTTAGGGATTGGGGGCACAAAGCAACATTTTAAAATGTGTAAAGACAATGAGTAAGCAACAAAGTGTCCAATTTTTTAGGTGAAAGTTGCATACGTCAGGAAAAGGCAGGATTAAGTAACAGAGAATTTGAATGATAACTGGCCAGTTGGTGTCGTTTACAATTGCAAGACATACAAATGAAGTTTGCTTTTTTAAAGAGAAAAGGAGTTAGTTAGAATGGGTCAACCTATTGGGGAAGCAATGTAGTTAGAGACAATGCCCAAAACCATGTGAGCAAATGCTCTGTAGAGCGCACCCCTGCAATGCTGCCATTGTGAGGCCAAGTCTCTCCTTGTCTTGGTACTGAGCCCTCCATTCTGCCTCCATCATTGCCACTGTAGCTGCCACAAAATGATCCCTCAACCACCGCTGCCCAGGAACAAAGAAAGAATTCTGTCCTTCTGCGCTCTCAGATCAATTTCCAACATCAGGTGAGACTTTGATGGGCACTATTCAGTTCCCATATCCCTGAAAGAGATGCAGTAAAAACATAGAAATTGCCTATGTGTTTCCCAATAAGACACATATGGAAGCCTGTTTTCCCACAACAGGAAGGGGTTTCCACGATGGGTGTTCAAAGGAACAATATTCCCTGTAAACCATACTTTGCCCATATGAAGAAGAGCAATAAGGATTATTTAGTAAATAGACATGGAAACTCATCCAGGGTTGGCTGATGAGAAGCTGGTTAGCAAGGGGTTCTGTCTTCAGTTAGGACAAGGTCTGTCCTTCCCACGGGTTCTCTCCAAAGCAGGAGGGATGCAAACTTCCCTTTCCTCCCCTGCACCTACCCTCAAATGGCCCAGAGGTCTTCAGGTGCTAGAATTTCTCAATTAATGCTGCAGAAAATAACAGACAGCCTTGACTGTCACTGTCTGTTCTCATGAAGCTAGTCTCTGCTTACTACATAAAACAGAAGAGTAAGAATAACGGTGTTAAACACTACCCTAGCTCAACAAGTTTCTCTCTGTAGGATGCCAAGAACCTGGGAACCAGTGCATCTGCTGCTTTCCCTTCTCGGATTCTAGCCCAGACAAAAGAGGCAATGGGCATTTCTTCAGAGGCCTTGAGCTTCACTACACAATGCCCCAGGCTCTACATGCACCCTCTTTATATATTTCTACCTTGAAAAAAAATTTTATATAATAATATATATTTTTATATAAGGAACACATATGTTTATTTTATAGATAGATATAGATATACATAGATAAAGATCTCTAGTCTGCCTTTTTTAAGGCTGGGCTGATCACGGTGCCCCAAAACTATAATCCCAGCACTTTGGGAGGCCAAGGTGGCCAGATCTCTTGAGTCCAGGAGATGGAGAACAGCCAGGGCAACATGGTGAAACACCATCTTTACAAAAATTAGCTAGTATGGTGGCGTGCACTTGCAGTCCCTGCTACTCAGGAGACTGAGGTGGGAGAATCGCTTGAGCACACTATGTGAAGGCTTCAGTGAGCTCTGATCACATGACTGCACTCCATCTTGGGTGACAAAGTGAGACCCTCTCTCAAAATAAAATAAAATAAAAAGGCTACCACCATACTCACAGATAAGTGTGTCAGGTATATTTGCAGCTATCTTTCCTATACTCTATTTGGTAAAAAAAAAATTGCAAAGAACTCTTCTCATTCTAGATTTTTGTATTAATTAGACATTTGAAGTTTACAGCAGAAGAGCTATAATCATGTTTGGTATGTGTACTCTATAGACCAGATAGTGCAAACAGATATCAATGCTTTTTAAAAGTATATAAGGTTATTGGAAATATTTTAAACTACCTATAGGTATATATGTATCTAATTCAACTATCAAATGCAAGTAAGATCATTTCCTTAGCGTGTGAAATGCACTCAATTTATTAAAATATTTTCTAATGTCTATTACAATAATATTTCTTAATTAGCTAACATAAGAAGAGTTTTAAGACATTTATTTATATGTACTTACTAGATTCAAACTCGATTCCACTATTTTCAGAAATCATGCTCTGAGACAAGTCCTTTTTTTAATCTGGCTATGTTTCTACCTATATTAAAAGACAGATATGTCAATTTTCCTAATCATGCTGTTCCAAACCTCTCCATCCTATTTTTCGTTTGTTCTACCAGTCATTCAGAGACTTACTTATATTCAAATTTCTCTCTAGGTTTAACATTTGTGTATGTCTTCTTGTGTTTTTGTCTATTTTTGCTGTGTATAATTTAAGACATTTATTGACATATATCATACATGCAGAAAAGTACAATGATTAAATATGGATAGCTTCATTAATGAAACACATGTATTTGCTTATAACCATGTATGAAAATAGAACATTACTAAAAATAGAGATACTTCTCCTGCCCCTTTCCAAACACTAACCCTCATCCTCAATAGTAACAGATTTTTTTTTATCATAGAGTAATTTGGTCTATTTTCAAATTTTTATTAAATAAATCAGAGTATCTACTCTATGTTTCTTTCATTTTGTTATTTTGCTTGTAGTATTTATCTGCTAATGGACATGGTAGATTAAAGACGGCTACATACACATTTTTTAATTAATAGATTTTTTGAGCACTTTGTGGCTCATGCCTCTAATCCCACCACTTTGGGAGGCTGAGGTGCGTGGATCATGAGGTCAGGAGATCGAGACCATCCTGGCCAACGCGGTAAAACCCCTTCTCTACTAAAATACAAAAAATTAGCTGATAGATAACATCAAGATAACATCTGGGTTCTTAGATGCACGGAGTCAAGCCTACTTACATCTTTGTTTGTCTTCCTCTTCACTTTTCCTTCCACATCACACTCCAGGAATGCCAAGCTGTGCTGGCCTTCTACCCCATTTCGACTATTTTGCCCCCGCCGATGCGGCTTTTTGCGGCTTTCTGCCCCCGGTCTCGCGGAATTTAGCCCCTGCCGCCGCGGCTTTTTGGGGCTCTTTGCCCTCGCCGCCGCAGCTTTTTGCGTCTTTCTCCCCCCGCCGCCGCGGCTTTTTGAGGCTTTTTACCCCCTGCTGCCGCAGCTTTTTGCCCCCACCACCGTGAATTTTTTCTCTGCGGCTTTTTGTCACCGCCGCTGCGGCTTTTTATGGCTTCTTGCCCTGCCGCCCCGGCTTTTTGCAGCTTTTTGCCGCCGCGGCTTTTGTCCCCCAGCACCGCGGCTTTTTACGCCTTTTCGCCCCCGCCGCCGCGGCTTTTTTACCCCGCTGCCGCAGGTTTTTCCTGCCGCCTCTTCTTGACCCCACTGCCCATGCTTTTGCGGCTTTTTGCCCCCGCCATCGCAGCTTTTTACACCCTCCGCCCCGGCTCCTTGCCCCCTACGTGGCTTCCTGCCCCCGCCGCCGCGGCTTTTTATCACCCCAGCCGCTTTTTGCCTCCGCCGCCATGCGTTTTTGCCCCTGCCGCCGAGGGTTTTTGCGGCTTCATGTCCCCGCCGTCGTGGCTTTTTGCCGCCCCTGCTTTTTGCCCCCTCTGCCGCGGCTTTTTGCGGCTTTTGGCACCAGACGCCGCGGCTTTTTGAGGCTTTTTGCCCCCGCCGCCGCGGCTTTTTGCCGCCGCCTCACCGTTTTGCCCCCGCCGCGCCTTTTTGCCCCCGCCGCCGCATCTTTTTGCAGCCGCGGCTTTTTGCTCCTGCCGTCGCGGCTTTCTGCCCCCGACGCTGCGGCTTTTTACGGCTTTTTACCCAGTCACCGCAGCTTTTTGCCCCCGCCGCCGCAGCTTTTTGCCCCTGCCACGCAGCTTATTGTCGCCGAGGCTGTTTGCCTCGGCCGCCGTGGCTTGATGCCCCCATCGTCCCGGCTTTTTCCCCCACCGCCCCGGCTTTTTGACCCCACGTTGCGGCTTTTTGCGGCTTTTTGCCCCCCGCCGCCGCGGCTTTTTGCCCCCATCACCGCGGCTTTTTCCCCGCCACCGCGGCTTTTTGCCGATGCGGCTTTTTACTCCCGCCGCCACAGGTTTTTACCAATGCGGCTTTTTCACACCGCCGTCGCGGGTTTTTGCCCCCACCGCCGCGGGTCTGAGGGCGGGATCGGCAGACTAGGCTGCCAGATCTACCGTCGTCCTGGCTAAGGCAGCGCCGAGGGTCACTCCTGGTCCAGCTCTCCTGGTTCGGGGGTTCCTTGCCTAGACACCCGCACCCCAGGCTCTGTTCCTGGGCCGCTGCAGCCTGCATAGAACGGCGCTGCGCTCGGCCCTGATGGGAGAGAAGAAGGAGGTCTGTGGAGGGGGTGACGCGGCTATCGCGGAGGGAAGCACAGGGGCCGCAGCCAGCCGGGTGCTGCAGCAGTGCGGGCAGCTCCAGAAGCTCATCGGCATCTCCGTTGGCAGCCTGCGCGGGCTGCGCACCAAGTGCGCTGTGTCCAAGGACGTCACCCAGCAGGAGATACGGACCGTGCAGGTAAGGGGGTCGGGGACCAGGGCTGGGCTCCAGCACCGGACTGGACATCTCCCAGGGGCCCCAGTTCACTCCTGGCCGAGTTGCATCCTTGAGCCCGCGTCACCCCCTTGGAGGCTTCTCCTCCCTCCTGCACTCGCTGATGCGGCAGCCGCAGGTCCCAGGACCAGCCCTCACCTTGGGCAGGATTTGTGGGCCGGGTGCGTGTTGGGAACTGTGATGGAGGCTCGAGGGGCCCGTGGGCAGGGTGGGCTGCGTGTGGACATCCCCTTACGTCCCGAATTTCCATCTGGTGCAGCCTTCTCATCTTGTAGGTGAGGAAACCGAAGGCCTGAGGGAGAAATGACTTGCCAGGAACCCCTGTTAAGGAAAATTAACAAAGTGTGGTTATCAAAGGAGAACTGAGTTCGGATTCAGACCTGGAGTCCCACACCCTTGGTTAAGACATTATACCACCTTGAGCCTGGCCTGTTGACTGAGGGTGAGCCACTCCATCCTCGTCTGATTGTGGGGTCTTGACCTCAAGGGGTTTCCTGCAGGAAGAAGCAAATGGGTTTGCTTTCCCAGCTCTGTCCAGTACCTTAGGGACCCTGAGAACTGGAGAGATTCTTGGAGAGCCATCTGGTGTATGTCATGGGTGGGCCTTGTTTGAAGGTCAGTCTGCCCAGTGGGCTGGCTCAGCCCAAATGAACTGTCTTGAATCTTTGGAGATGTCTGTGTACTTTTAAGGGTTTCTCATCCTTGCACCAAAAGATCCCCTGGAAATTAGGTGGGAAAACCTTAACTTTTGTGGAGCCTTGTATTTGTCTTAAAAGTTCATGCGCATAGCCAGGTGTGGTGGCTCACGCCTGTTATCCTATCCTGGATCCCTTGAGTCAAGGAGTTTGAGACCAACCTGGACAATATAATGAGACCCCATCTCTACAAAAAATAAAATATTATCCAGGGGTGGTTGTGCGCATCTGTAGTCCTAGCTACTACTGTGGCTGAGGCGGGAGGAGCACTTGAGCCTGCACTGAGCTGTGATCTCACTAGTGTATTCCAGCCTGGGCCACAGAGCAACACCTTGACTCAAAAAAGAAAAAAAAAAAACCAACAAGAAAAATTCTTGAAGATTTTGCATTCTGTCCCACTATCCATTGATTTTCATGTCAAGATAATGTCAGAAATTCTTTACAATTGCTTCCAGAAGGAGTAGCCTTTTGATCTAGTGCACAGGTGTCCAGTCTTTTGGCTTCTCAGGGCCACATTGGAAGAAGAATGCTCCTGGGCCACAGATAAAATACACTACTGCTAATTATAGCTGATGAGTTTAAAAAAAAAAAGTTTGTGCATAATTTTCATGATACCCACCACCACAGTTAGGTGGAAAAGTCCTTGTAGTCAAAGGGTTGGACACGGCTGATCTAGTGTCTTGTCGTCCGTTTTGGCTTTCTCCCTGACTCCAGAATGCAGGTAGAGATGTAGAGACATGCTCTCAGGACAGCTGTTGAGATGAAAAAAATTCGTTGTCATTTATTCCCAAGGACAGCTGTTTGCCATTTGCATTGAAAAAGTCTCCATTCAAACTGCTGTCACATATAAAATCTATTTATATGTCTGTATTTTTCTGTTGTCTTGGCCTTTGTGGGCAGTAGTGTGTTTTAACCGAGCAAACTGTCCTTCCAAATAATGAAGCCGAAGTCAGCCTACCTGCTTACCATTTTTCTTCCCCTTCCATTTTTCTAACCTCAGGATAATTGTAAGAATGAATTAAGATTTGTGTTTAAGGCTGGGCACAGTGTCTCAGGCCTGTCATCTCAGCACTTTGGGAGGCGGAGATGGATGTATCGTTTGATCTCAGGAGTTGAAGACCAGCCTGGGCAAAATACTGAGACTCCATCTTGTATAATTAAATTAAAAATTAAAAAAAGGAGAGAAAAGGACCTGTGTTTAAAGTTTTAAAAAAGGAGGGAAGGTGTTATGCAAAATGTGGACTATGCTAGCTATGATTGGGAAAAATAATTTTTCATACAGCATTATCTGTTGACATGTATTAGCAGCATACTGGTCATAAGCGTTTTGCTTTCCTCAAATATGATGAGGTAAGCTACTTTAAATTGTGGTGGGGCTTTCTTCCACATGGCTCCTGGAGGTGTTGAGTCCCAATTTAGCCAATTAATTTGGGTATAGTTTTGATATGGATGAGGGAGACCAGCTTCATTCATGATGCACACACAGTTTTGCCAGTAAGGGAAAAAAAAGCAACCTGAATGTTCCTACTCATTAGATGCTATCTGGAGAGCTCCTACCCCACTGCCACAAAGGCTCTGGCCCTTAAAAAGACTCAATGCAGCCTTTCTGCATCTCATAATGTATTCTGCAAGATGCTCCTGTGAAAGAAAGTGGTGCTGCATCAGCCATCTCCCTCCTGAAGATCCCTGCGGATGAGGATTTGTGTTTTAAAGGTTCTCAGAAGTCCTGCAACAACAGTTCTCAAACTTATTTGTCCAGGGGATCTTTTCTTCCACTGAACATAGTTGGGGAGACACGGCCTTAAGCCTTGAGCAGAGAAAGAGACAAGAAACTGTTGGCTCACTTACAACCAAGTGTTGTGTTTATGTTTTAGGTTTTTATGAAACTGAGGTGCTCTTTGAGGTTCTGAATCAAATTGGGTGGTTGAAGAGAGGCTGGTATCCCTGTAGACTTAGCCAGCAATGAGAGGTTGAGTTTTGTTGAAGGAGGTGTTTTACAAAGGGAAATAGGGTGTTTCCTGGGCATCACATTAGCACTTAAATACATGTATCACTGAAATGAAATGAAATGATGAAATGATGACATGAAATGAAATGATGGAACGGAATGATGAAATGATGAAATGAAATTAAATGATAAAATGATGATATGAAATGAAATGATGAGATGAAATGAAATGGTGAAATGATGAAATGAAATGCTGAAATGAAATGAAATGATGAAATGATGAAATGAAATGGTGCAATGAAATGAGGAAATGAAATGCTGAAATGAAATGATGAAGTGAAATGGTGAAATGAAATGAAATGATGAATTGATGTAATGAAGAAATGGTATGAAATGATGAAATGAAATGATGAAATAATGAAATGAGGGGTGGAGCCAAGATGGCCGAATAGGAACAGCTCCGGTCTACAGCTCCCAGCATGAGCGACGCAGAAGACTGGTGATTTCAGCATTTCCATCTGAGGTACCGGGTTCATCTCACTAAGGGAGTGCCAAACAGTGGGTGCAGGACAGTGGGTGCAGCCCACCTTGTGGGAGCCAAAGCACAGTGAGGCATTGCCTCACTCAGGAAGCACAAGGGGTCAGGAAGTTCCCTTTCCTAGTCAAAGAATGAGGTGACAGATGGCACCTGGAAAATCGGGTCACTCTCACCCTAATACTGCAGTTTTCCAACAGGCTTGGAAAACAGCACACCAGGAGATTGTGTCCTGCACCTGGCTCGGAGGGTCTTATGCCAATGGAGTCTTGCTGATTGCTAGCACGGCACTCTGAGATCAAGCTGCAAGGTGGCAGCAAGGCTGGGGGAGTGGGTCCCACCATTGCCCTGGCTTTCTTAGGTAAACAAAGCAGCCAGACAGCTGGAACTGGGTGGAACCCACAACAGCTCCAGGAGGCCTGCCTGCCTCTGTAGGCTCCACCTCTGGGGGCAGGGCATAGACACACAAAAAGTCAGCAGTAACCTCTGCAGAATTAAATGTCCCTGTCTGACAGCTTTGAAGAGAGTAGTGGTTCTCCCAGCATGCAACTGGAGATCTGAGACTGGGCAGACTGCCTCCTAAAGTGGGTCACTGAACCCCAAGCAGCCTAACTGGGAGGCACCCCCCTGTAGGGACAGACTGACACCTCACTCAGCCAGGTAGTCCTCAGAGACCAAACTTCCAGAGGAATGATCAGACAGCTGAATTTGTGATTCATGAAAATCCGCTGTTCTGCAGCCACCGCTGCTGATACCCAGGCAAACAGGGTCTGGCGTGGACCTCTACTAAACTCCAACAAACCTGCAGCTGAGGGTCCTGTCTGTTAGAATGAAAACTAACAAACAGAAAAGACACCCACACCAAAAACCCATCTGTACATCACCATCATCAAAGACCAAAAGTTGATAAAACCACAAAGATGGGGAGAAAACAGAGCAGAAAAACTGGAAACTCTAAAAAGCAGAGTGCCTCTCCTTCTTCAAAGGAATGCAGTTCCTCACCAGCAACGGAACAAAACTGGACAGAGAATAACTTTGACGATTTGAGAGAAGGCTTCAGATGATCAAATTACTGCGAGCTACAGGAGGAAATTCAAACCAATAGCAAAG
Organism: Homo sapiens; assembly: GCF_000001405.40. NCBI lineage: Eukaryota > Metazoa > Chordata > Mammalia > Primates > Hominidae > Homo > Homo sapiens. Next base: position 36,096,839 of record NC_000016.10, on the reverse strand, counting down.
AAGTTAAAAACTTTGAAAAACAATTAGACGAATGTATAACTGGAATAACCAATGCAGAGAAATGCTTAAAGGATCTGATGGAGCTGAAAGTCAAGTTTCAAGAACTACATGAAGAAGGCAGAAGCCTCAGGAGCTGATGCAATCAACTGGAAGAAAGGGAATCAGTGATGGAAGATGAAATGAATGAAACGAAGGGAGAAGGGAAGTTTAGAGAAAAAAGAATAAAAAGAAATGAACAAAGCCTCCAGGAATTATGGGACTCTGTGAAAAGACCAAACCTATGTCTGATTGGTGTACCTGAAAGTGACGGGGTGAATGGAACTAAGTTGGAAAACACTCTGCAAGATATTATCCAGGAGGACTTCCCCAATCTAGCAAGGCAGGCCAACATTCAGATTCAAGAAACACAGAGAACGCCACAAAGATACTCCTCAAGAAGAGAAACTCCAAGACACATAATTGTCAAATTCACCAAAGTTGAAATGAAGGAAAAAATGTTAAGGGCAGCCAGAGAGAAAGTTCGGGTTACCCACAAAGGGAAGCCCATCAGACTAACAGCTGATCTCTCGGCAGAAACTCTTCAAGCCAGAAGAGAGTGGGGGCCAATATTCAACATTCTTAAAGAAAAGAATTTTCAACCCAGAATTTCATATCCAGCCAAACTAAGCTTCATAAGTGAAGGAGAAATAAAATCCTTTACAGACAAGCAAATGCTGAGAGATTTGCTTGCCCTAAAAGAGCTCCTGAAGGAAGCACTAAACCTGGAAAGGAACAACTGGTACCAGCCACTGCAAAAACATGCCAAATTGTAAAGACCATTGAGACTAGGAAGAAACTGCATCAACTAACGAGCAAAATAACCAGCTAACATCATAATGACAGGATCAAATTCACACATAACAATATTAACTTTAAATGTAAATGGGCTAAATAATCCAATTAAAAGAAACAGACTGGCAAATTGGATAAGGAGACAAGACCCATCAGTGTGCTGTATTCAGGAAACCCATCTCATGTGCAGAGACACACATAGACTCAAAATAAAGAGATGGAGGGAGGTCTACCAAGCAAATGGAAAACAAAAAAAGGCAGGGGTTGCAATCCTAGTCTGTGATAAAATAGACTTTAAACCAACAAAGATCAAAAGAGACAAAGAAGGCCTTTACATAATGGTAAAGGGATCAATTCAACAAGAAGAGCTAACTATCCTAAATATATATGCACCCAATACAGGAGCACCCAGATTCATAAAGCAAGTCCTGAGTGACCTACAAAGAGACTTAGACTACCCCACAAACATAATGGGAGATTTTAACATGACACTGTCAACATTAGACAGATCAATGAGACAGAAAGTTAGCAAGGACACCCAGGAATTGAACTCAGCTCTGCACGAAGCGCACCTAATAGACATCTATGGAACTCTCCACCCCAAATCAACAGAATATACATTTTTTTCAGCACCACACCTCACCCATTCCAAACTTGATCACATAGGTGGAAGTAAAGCTCTCCTCAGCAAATGTAAAAGAACAGAAATTATAACAAACTGTCTCTGAGACCACAGTGCAATCAAACTAGAACTCAGGATTAAGAAACTCACTGAAAACCGCTCAACTACATGGAAAATGAACAACCTGCTCTGGAATGACTACTGGGTACATAATAAAATGAAGGCAGAAATAAAGATGTTCTTTGAAACCAACGAGAACAAAGACACAACATACCAGAATCTCTGGGACACACTCAAAGCAGTGTGTAGAGGGAAATTTATAGCACTAAATGCCCACAAGAGAGAGCAGGAAAGATCCAAAATTGACACCCTAACATCACAATTAAAAGAACTTTAAAAGCAAGAGCAAACACATTCAAAAGCTAGCAGAAGGCAAGAAATAACTAAAATCAGAGCAGAACTGAAGGAAATAGAGACACAAAAAAACCTTCAAAAAATTAATGAATACAGCAGCTGGTTTTTTGAAAAGATCAACAAAATTGATAGACCACTAGCAAGACTAATAAAGAAGAAAAGAGAGAAGAATCAAATAGACGCAACAAAAAATGATAAAGGGATTATCACCACCGATCCCACAGAAATACATTCTACCATCACAGAAAACTACAAACACCTCTATACAAATAAACTAGAAAATCTAGAAGAAATGGATAAATTTCTCAACACATACACTCTCCCAAGACTAAACGAGGAAGAAGTTGAATCTCTGAATAGACCAATAACAGGCTCTGAAATTGTGGCAGTAATCAATAGCTTACCAACCAAAAAGAGTCCAGGACCAGATGGATTCACAGCAGAATTCTACCAGAGGTACGAGGAGGAACTGGTACCATTCCTTCTGAAACTATTCCAATCAATAGAAAAAGAGGGATTCCTCTCTAACTAATTTTATGAGGCCAGCATCATCCTGATACCAAAGCCGGGCAGAGACACAACAAAAAAAGAGAATTTTAGACCAATATCCTTAATGAACATTGGTGCAAAAATCCTCAATAAAATACTGGCAAACTGAATCCAGCAACACATCAAAAAGCTTATCCACCATGAACAAGTGGGCTTCATCCCTGGGATGCAAGGCTGGTTCAACATATGCAAATCGATAAACGTAATCCACCATATAAACCTAACCAAGGACAAAAACCACATGATTATCTCAATAGATGAAGAAAAGGCCTTTGACAAAATTCAACAGCCCTTCATGCTAAAAATTCTCAATAAATTAGGTAATGATGGGACTTATCTCAAAATAATAAGAGCTGCCTATGACAAACCCACCGCCAATATCATACTGAATGGGCAAAAACTGGAAGCATTCCTTTTGAAAACTGGCACACGACAGGGATGTCCTCTCTCACCACTCCTATTCAACATAGTGTTGGAAGTTCTGGCCAGGGCAATCAGGCAGGAGAAGGAAACAATGGGTATTCAATTAGGAAAAGAGGAAGTCAAATTGTCCCCGTTTGCAGATGACATGGTTGTATATCTAGAAAACCCCATTGTCTCAGCCCAAAATCTCCTTAAGCTGATAAGCAACTTCAGCAAAGTCTCAGGATACAAAATCAATCTACAAAAATCACAAGCATTCTTGTACACCAATAACAGACAAACAGAGTGCCCAATCATGAGGGAACTCCCATTCACAATTGCTTCAAAGAGAATAAAATACCTAGGAACCCAACTTACAAGGGACATGAAAGACATCTTCAAGGAGAACTGCAAACCACTGCTCAATGAAATAAAAGAGGATACAAACAAATGGAAGAACATTCCATGCTCTTGGGTTGGAAGAATCAATATCTTGAAAATGGCCATACTGCCCAAGGTAATTTACAGATTCAATGCCATCCCCATCAAGCTACCAATGACTTTCTTCACAGAATTGGAAAAAACGACTTTAAAGTACATATGGAACCAAAAGAGCCCGCATTGCCAAGTCAATCCTAAGCCAAAAGAACAAAGCTGGAGGCATCACACTACCTGACTTCAAACTATACTACAAGGCTACAGTAACCAAAACAGCATGTTACAGGTACCAAAACACAGACATAGATCAATGGAACAGGACAGAGCCCTCAGAAATAATGCTGCATAGCTACAACTGTCTGATCTTTGACAAACCTGACAAAAACAAGCAATGGGGAAAGGATTCCGTATTTAATAAATGGTGCTGGGAAAACTGGCTACCCATATGTAGAAAGCTGAAACTGGATCTCTTCCTTACACCTTATACAAAAATTAATTCAAGTTGGATCAAAGACTTACATGTTAGACCTAAAATCATAAAAACCCTAGAAGAAAACCTAGGCAATACCATTCAGGACATGGGCCTGGGCAAGGACTTCATGTCTAAAACACCAAAAGCAATGGGAGCAAAAGCCAGAATTGACAAAGGGGATCTAATTAAACTAAAGAGCTTCTGCACAGCAAAAGAAGCTACCATCAGAGTGAACAGGCAACCTACAAAATGGGAGAAAATTTTTGCAACCTACTCATCTGACAAAGGGCTAATAACCAGAATCAACAATGAACTCAAACAAATTTACAAGTAAAACACAAACAACCCTATCAAAAAGTGGGTGAAAGACACGAACAGACACGTCTCAAAAGAAGACATTTATGCAGCCAAAAAACACATGAAAAAATGCTCATCATCACTGGTCATCAGAGAAATGCAAATCAAACCACAATGAGATACCATCTCACACCAGTTAGAATGGTGATCATTAAAAAGTCAGGAAACGGCAGGTGCTGGAGAGGATGTGGAGAAATAGGAACACTTTTACACTGTTGGTGGGATGGTAAACTAGTTCAACCATTGTGGAAGTCAGTGTGGCGATTCCTCAAGTATCTAGAACTAGAAATACCATGTGACCCAGCCATTCCATTACTGGGTATATACACAAAGGACTATAAATCATGCTGCAATAAAGACACATGCACACGTATGTTTATTGTGGCAGTTTTCACAATAGCAAAGACTTGGAACCATCCCAAATGTCCAACAACGATAGATTGGATTAAGAAAATGAGGCACTTATACACCATGGTGTACTATGCAGCCACAAAAAATGATGAGTTCGTGTCCTATGTAGGGACATGGATGAAACTGGAAATCATCATTCTCAGTAAGCTCTCACAAGGACAAAAAACCAAACACCACATGTTATCATTCATAGGTGGGTATTGAACAATGAGAACACATGGACACAGGAAGGGGAACATCACACTTCAGGGACTGTTGTGGGCTGGGGTGAGTGGGGAGGGATAGCATTAGGAGATATACCTAATGCTAAATGACGAGTTAATGGGTGCAGCACACCAACATGGCACATGAACACTTATGTTACAAACCTGCACATGGCGCACATGTATCCTGAAACTTAAGGTATAATAATAAAATAAAATAGAATAAAATAACAAAATATACACTAATACAGATTAACCAACTAAAAAAATTGTAGAGAAAGGTCATTTAAAAAATATGAAGGATAGAGTAATAATCTAACACGTTGAAATCTAAGAAAGAGAAAACAGCTTGTCTGAACAGCATTTTAAGTGGCAATGTTAGAGGTTTTATCAAAATTGACCAATAATATTAAACGACAGGTTCAGGAGGCTTTTCAAAGCAAAGGAAAACACACACAGAGGACGCATCTAGAAACATAATGGGACAATTTCTGAAAAGTAAAAGATAAATGTAAAGAGCACTTGATAAAAAAAATTGGGCTAACTAGAAAGAGAAAGAGTTGAATGATAACAACTTTCTCAAATGAAACAATGAAAGCCAACAAGTGAGGTATTGATATCTTTCAAGTCCTGAAATAAAATAAGTGCTGACCTAGAACTGTCTACTTGGTGGACATATCCATCAAAAGCAAAGATACAATAAAGAATTTCTCCCAAGCAGACCCACAGGAAAAGAAATACTAAAGATTATTCTTCAGGTAGAAGAACCATGATCCCTGATGAAAGTTTTCAGTTAGAAGAACATTTTTTTAATGAAAGAAATAAACATAGAGAGAAATTTAATTGGATATTGACTGTATAACAGAATGCTATCTCATAAAGTTTAAAATGTATCTTCCATACAACGGCAGAAGCATATAAGTTGTGAGTTGGATAAATTAATTTTAAAATATTGTCAAGTTTTTTTTTTGCAAATAGACAGATGTACCAATTATATTAGACCCTGAATTCAAGAATGCACGTTGTATTAAACCAGGTAAACCATAACCAGACCAGATTTTTTAAATGGACTCTCTTAAAGTTTTTATAATTTATATTCATATTTCACGTATGTTGAAAGTAAATAATGGAAAAGCATGCAATGCAAATATTAAGCAAAATATAGCTTTCTTTGTACTTATATTCACATTTTAAAAGTTGGACACAGTTAAGTCTCAGTGATTTTTTTACACAACGGAGGCAACCTGTGCAGTTATAACTAGTATTATATTATGCTCTTGGCCTGATTACAGAAGGGAAAGGGGAGATCATACCAGACAATGGCAGAATGAAGCAACAAGGAGTAGAGCTACAGAACATGATGCTGTAACTGGGACTGGAGTTACACTTTTAGAGTTAAAGAATAGTAAACTGGACAAAATATATGAAACATTTTTTTGAAGTACTGAACATCAGGCAGCACATGACTGTGCTCCACAAGAGAAGAGAAGGAGACAGAATGAGGCCTGCTTTATTCCCAGATTCTCCGTGACAGCAGTAGAGAGGAATCCCAGAGAGAGCAGACATTGTCATTGCACTGAGGAACCAGATAAAAATCAAAAAAGGTTAAGCAGCTGTAATGTGTAGTAGAAGAGAACGTTTACAGAAAAAGGAACCAAGAATCAGCCTAAGGATTCTCCCAAGTCCCTAAGCCAAATGTACATAGGATGAAATTCTAAGGAGCTCAGCAAAGGACTGTACCAGGGAGTTGGAAGAAGAACATTTCCCTGGCATCACATGACAGGAAGACACGTTAGCTCTGATGAGCCAGAGAAGGGAATCCCCTCTGTACCTCCAGGATATTCAGTAAAGACCACTGGAGGTTCATGCCCTAGTGACAATGCTCATTTCGCTCCAAATTACAGATGGCTCTAGACTAACTCAACAAAGTTTAAAGAGAAGATTTAAAACAACAACAGAAAAATACTCATCCTGCAAAGGACATGAACTCATCATTTTTTATGGCTGCATAGTATTCCATGGTGTATATGTGCCACATTTTCTTAATCCAGTCTATCATTGTTGGACATTTGGTTTGGTTCCAAGTCTTTGCTATTGTGAATAATGCTGCAATAAACATACGTGTGCATGTGTCTTTATAGCAACTCTCTGAGTTGAATGCACACATCACAAAGAATTTTCTGAGAATTCTTCTGTCTAGCTTTTATGTGAAGAAATATCGTTTTCAATATAGGCCTCAAAAGGAACCAAATATCAACTTGCAGATTATACAAAAAGAGCGTTTCAAAACTGCTGTATCAAAAGAAATTTTCAACTTTGCGAGTTGAGTGAACACATCACAAAGAAGCTTCGGCGAATGCTTCTGTCTAGTTTTTATGTGAAGATAGTTCGTTTTCCATCACAAGCCTTAAAGGGAAACAAATATTCACTTGCAGATTCTACAAAATGTGTGTTTCAAAACTCCTCTATCAAAAGATAGTTTCAAATTCATAAGTTGAATGCACACATAACAAGGAAGTTTCTGAGAAAGCTTCTGTCTAGTTTTTATGTGAACATATTTCCTTTTCTACCATTGGCCTCCCAGCGCTCCATATATCCACTTGCAGATTCTACACAAAGAGTGTTTCATAACTGCTCTATCAAAAGAAATTTTCAACTCTTTGAGTCGAATGCAAGCATCACAAGGAAGTTTCTGAGAATGCTTCTGTCTAGTTTTAATGTGAAGATATTTCCTTTTCCACCATAGGCCTCAAAGCGCTCCAAATATCCACTTGCAGATCCTACAAAAAGAGTGTTTCAAAACTTCTCTATCAAAAGAAAGGTTCAACTCTGTGAGTTGAATGCACAGATCATAAAAAAGTTTCGGATAATGCTTCTGTCTAGTTTTTATGTGAAGATAATTCCTTTTCCACCTTAGGCTTCAAAGTGCTCCAAGCATCCACTTGCAGATTCTACAAAAAGAGTGTTTCAAATCAGCTGTATCAAAAGAGAGGTGCAACTCCTTGAGTTGAAAGAACACATCAAAAAGAATTTTCTGAGAATGCTTCTGTCTTGTTTTTATGTGAAGATATTCTGTTTTCCAACAGAGGCCTCAGAGGGAACCAACTTTTCACTTGCAGATTCTAAAAAAAGAGTGTTTCAAAGTTGCTCTGTTAAAAGAAATATTCAACTCTGTCAGCAGAATACACACATTAAAAAGATGTTTCAGAGAATGCATCAGCCTAGTTTTTAAGTGAAGATATTTCCTTTTACACCACAGGCCTTAAAGCACTCCAATTATCCACTTGCAGATTCTACAAAGAGTGTTTCAAAACTGCTCTGTCAATAGAAATGTTCAACTCTCTGAGTTGAATGCACACATCACAAAACAGTTTCGGAGGACGCTTCTGTCTATTTTTATGTGAAGATGATTCCTTTTCCACCATAGGCCTCACAGTGCTCCATATATCCACATGCAGATCCTACAAAAAGAGTGTTTCAAAACTGCTCTAACAAAAGAAAGGTTCAACCCTGGAAGTTGAATGCACACAACACAAAGAAGATTCTGAGAATGCTGTCTAGCTTTTATGGGAAGATATTTCGTTTTCCAACATATGCCTCAAAAGGAACCAAATATCAACTTGCAGATTATACAAAAAGAGTGTCTGAAAACTGCTTTATCAAAAGAAACTTTCAGCTCTGTCAGTTGAGTGAACACATCACAAAGAAGCTTTGGCGAATGCTTCTCTCTAGTTTTTATGAGAAGATAGTTCTTTTTCCATCATAAGCCTTAAAGGGAAACAAATATCCACTTGCAGATTGTACAAAATGTTTGTTTCAAAACTGCACTATCCAAAGATAAGTTCAATTCTGTGAGTTGAATTAACACGTCACAAAGAAGTTTCTGAGAATACTTCTGTCTAGTTTTTATGCGAACATATTTCCTTATCCACCATAGGCCTTTAAGCCTTTCATATATCCACTTGCAGATTCTACAAAAAGATTGTTTCAAAACTGCTCTATCAAAAGAAAGGTTCAACTCTGTGAGTTGAATGCACACATCACAAGAAGTTTCTGAAAATGCTTCTGTCTAGTTTTTATGTGAAGATATATAAGTTTCCACCATAGGCCTCAAAGCGCTCCAAATATCCACTTGCAGATTCTACAAAACAGTGTTTCAAAACTGCTCTATCAAAAGAAAGGTTGAACTCTGTGAGTTGAATGCACGCATCCAAAGAAGTTTCTGAGAATGTTTTCGTTTAGCTTTTATGGGAAGATATTTCCTTTTCCACCATAGGCCTCAAAGCGCTCCAAGTATCCATTTGTAGATGCTACAAAAAGAGTGTTTCAAAACTGCTCTATCAAAAGAAAGGTTCAACGCTGTGAGTTTAATGCACACATCACAAAGAACTTTCTGGGAATGCTTCTGTCTTGTTATTATGTGAAGATATTTCGTTTTCCTACATAGGCCTCAAAGGGAATCAACTTTCCACATGCAGATTCTACAAAAAGAGTGTTTCAAAGCTGCTCTATCAAAAGAAATGTTCAACTCTGTGAGCTGAATGCACACATCACAAAGAAGTTTCGAAGAATGCTTCTGTCTATTTTTCATTTGAAGATATGTCCTTTTACGTCATAGGCCTTAAAGCACTCCAAATATCCATTTGAGAAAACTACAAAAGGGTTGTTTCAAGACTGCTCTATCAAAAGAAAGATTCAACTCTGTGATTTGAATGCACACATCACAAAGTAGTTTCAGAGAATGCTTATGTCTAGTTTTTATGTGAACATATTTCCTTCCCACAGTAGGCCTCAAAGCGCTCCAAATATCCACATGCAGATGCTACAAAAAGAGTGTTTCAAAACTGCTCTATCAAAAGTTAGGTTCAACTCTGTGGGTTGAATTCACACATCACAAATCAGATTCTGAGAATGTCTTTGCCTAGTTTTTATGATAAGATAGTTCGTTTCCCTACAGAGGCCTCAAAAGGCACCAAATATCAACTTGCAGATTATACAAAAAGAGTGTTTCAAATCTGCTCTGTCAAAAGAAAATTACAACTCTCTGAGTTGAATGCACACATCACAAAGAAGTTTGGAAGAATGCTTCTGTCTAGTTTTTATGTGAAGATAGTTCGTTTTCCATTATAGACCTCAAAGGGAACAAAATATCCACTTACATATTCTACAAAATGTGTTTTTCAAAACTGCTGTATCAAAAGATAAGTTCAACTCTGTGAGTTCAATGCACAGATCACAAAGAAGTTTCCGAGAATGCTTCTGTCTTGTTTTTATGTGAAGATATTTCCTTTTCCACAGTAGGTCTCTAAGCGCTACAAATATCCAATTGCAGATTCTACAAAAACAGTGTTTCAAACTGCACTATCAAAAGAAAGGTTCAACTCTGTGAGTTGAATGCACGCATCACAAAGAAGGTTCTGAGAATTCTTCTGTCTAGTTTTTATGTGAAGAAATTTCCGTTTCTACCATAGTCGTCAATGCACTCCAAATATCCACTTGCACATTCCACAAAAAGAGTGTTTCAAAACTGCTCTGTCAAACGAAAGGTTCAGCTCTCGAGTTGAATGCCCACATCACAAAAAACTTTCAGAAAATGCTTCTCTGTAGTTTTTATGTGAAGATTCTCTTTTTCCAGCACAGGCCTCTAAGGGAACAAAATATACACTTGCAGATTCTACAAAAAGAGTGTTTCAGAAATGCTCTATCAAAGGAAAGGTTCAATTCTGTGAGTTGAATGCACACGAAGAAGTTTCTGAGAATGTTTCAGTTTAGTTCTTATGGGAAGATATTTCCTCTTCCACCTTAGGCCTGAAAGCACTCCAAATATCCACTTGCAGATTCTACAAAAAGAGTTTTTCAAATCTGCTCTTTCAAAAGAAAGGTTCAACTCTGTGAGTTGAATGCAGGCATCACAAAGAATTTTCCGAGAATGCTTCTGTTTAGTTTTTTTTTTGTGAAGATAGTTCGTTTTCCATTATAGGCCTCAAAAGGAAACAAAATATCCACTTGTAGATTCTACAAAATGTGTGTTTCAAAACTGCTCTATCAAAAGATAGATTCAAATCTGTGAGTTGAATGCACACATCGCACAAAGTTTCTGAGAAAAGTTCTGTCTAGTTTTTAAGTGAAGATATTTCCTTTTCCACCGTAGGCCTCAAAGCGCTGCAAATATCCACTTGCATATTCTTATAAAAGAGTGTTTCCAAACTGATCTATCAAAAGAAAGTTTGAACACTTTGAGTTGAATGCAGACATCACATGGAAGTTTCTGAGAATGCTTCTGCATAGTTTTTATGTGAAGATATTTCCTTTTACAACATAGCCCTCTAAACTCTCCATATATTCACGTGGAGATTCTACTAAAAGAGTGAATCAAATCTCCTCTAACAAAATAAAGTTTCAACTCTTTAAGTTGAGTGCACACATTGCAAGGAAGTTTCTGAGAATACTTCTGTCTAGTTTTTATGTGAAGATATTTAATTTTCCACCATAGGCCTCAAAGCACTCTAAATATCCACATGCATATTCCTCAAAAATAGTGTTTCAAAACTTCTCTATCAAAATAAAGGTTCAACTCTGTGAGTTGAATGCACACATCACAAGGAAGTTTCTGAGAATGCTTCTGTCTCGTTTTTATTCGAAGATATTTCCTTTTCCACAACAGGCCACATAGCGCTCCAAATATCCACTTGCAGATTCTACAAAAAGAGTGTTTCAAAACTGCTCTATCAAAACAATGTTTAAACTCTGTGAGTTGAATGCACACATCACAAAGAACTTTCCGTGAATGCTTCTGTCTAGTTTTTATGTGAAGATAATCCCTTTTCCACTGAAGGCCTCATAGTGGTCCAAGTATCCTCATACAGATTCTACAAAAAGAGTGTTTCAAAACTGTTCTATCAAAAGAAAGGTTCAACTCTGTGAGTTGAATGCACACATCACAAAGAAGTTTCTGAGAATGCTTCTGTCTAGTTTTTATGTGAAGATAATCCCTTTTCCACTGAAGGCCTCATAGTGGTCCAAGTATCCTCATACAGATTCTACAAAAAGAGTGTTTCAAAACTGTTCTATCAAAAGAAAGGTTCAACTCTGTGAGTTGAATGCACACATCACAAAGAAGTTTCTGAGAATGCTTCTGTCTAGTTTTTATGTGAAGATATTTCCTTTTTCCACCATAGGCCTTTAAGCTTTCCATATATCCACTTGCAGATTCTACAAAAAGATTGTTTCAAAACTGCTCTATCAAAAGAAAGGTTCTACTCTGTGAGTTGAATGCACACATCACAAAGTAGTTTATGAGAATGCTTCTGTCTAGTTTTTATGTGAAGATATTTAATTTTCCACCATAGGCCTCTAAGCACTCTAAATATCCACTTGCATATTCTATAGAAAGAGTGATTCAAATGGCTCTATCAAAAGAAAGGTTCAACTCTGTGAGTTGAATGCACGCATCTCAAAGAAGTATCTGATAATATTTTAGTTTACTTTTCATGGGAAGATATTTCCTTTTCCACCATA